>NC_000011.10:98687576-98990606 GCF_000001405.40 Homo sapiens
TGGAATCTCACTGTGCTTTGATTGGCATTTCTCTGATGACAAATGTTGAGCACGTTATCATTTGCTTAATGGCTATATATATATTTTTCGTTTTGGAGAAATGTCTATTCAGATTATTTACTGATTATTATTATTATTTTTTTGACAAAGTCTCGCTCTGTCACCCAGGCTGGAGTGCAGTGGCGTGATCTCTGCTCACTGCAACCTCACCTCCTGGGTTCAAGTAATTCCCCCGTCCTCAGCCTCCCGAGTGATTTGTCCTTTTATTGTGGATTTGTAGAGGTTCTTTATACATTCTGAATAAAAGTTCTTCCTCAGGCACAGGACTTGCAAATATTTTCTCTCTTTCTGTGAGTTGTCTTTTCACTCTCTTGATGGTATGCTTTAATGCACAAAATTTTTAGTATGAGGAAGTCCAAATCACTTATGTTTTCTATTGTTGCTTATACTTTTGACATCACATCCAACAATACTTTGCCAAATTCAATGCCATGAAGATTTATCCAAATATTTTCTTCTAAGAGTTTTATAGTTTTAACTCTAACATTTAGGTCTTCCTTGATCTATTTGAGTCAAACCTTTAAAACTGTGTGAGGTAAGGATTCAATTTTCATTTTTTTCCCCATGTGCTGTCTAATGGTCTTGGGACAATTTATTGAAACAATTCTTCTTTCCACATTGAATAGCTTTGGTATGTTTGTCAAAAATCAGTTGACCATACTGGATTCTCAAATATATTTCATTGATCTATCTATCCCTGTCTATCTAGCCAGTATGACACTGTCTTTATAACTGTTGCTTTTTACAAACTTTTATATTTGGAAGTCTAAGTCTTACTACCTTATACTTTTTAGAAATTGTTTTGACTTGTCTGGGTTCCTTACAATTTTATATAAGTTTTATCCTTAGCTTGTCAATTTCAACAAAGAAAGTCAGCTGTGATGATGAAGGTGATTGTTGAAAGTGTTGAATCTGTACATTAATTTAGGAAGTATTGCTATCCTAAAAATACTAAGTATTTCAATCTATTAACATGAAATTATTTAGAACTTCTTTAATTATTTCAATGATTTGTAGTTTTCACAAAATATTTTACCTTTTTTGTTAAATTTATTTTTGTTACTTGATTCTTGATGATATTGCAAATGGGATTGCTTTTTCTTCTTTTGTTTTAAAATTGTTCATTGACAGTGTATAGAAAAACAATACTTTTTAAATATTGATCTTGTATTCTACAACTTTGCCAATCGCATTTATTAGCACTAATAGTTTTTTTTTTCTTTAGTGTGTTCTTTAGGGTTTTCTACAAAAATAATTAAGTTATCTCTGAATAGTGACAGTTTTACTTGTTCCTTTCAACTGGATGGGTTTTACTTCTTTTTCTGGTGTATTTGCTATAGCTAGAAGCTGCAGTACAGTTTTGAATAGAAGTGGCAAGAGTGGACATACTTACTTGCTTTTGATCTTAAGAGTGAAAACATCCATTCTTTTACTGTTAAGTAAGATGTTACTGTGGTGTTTCGTAGATTCCCTTTATGAAGCTGAGAAAATTCCTTTCTTTTTCTAGTTTGTTGGATGTTTTTATCATTAAAAAAGTGTTAGATTTTTCTAATTCCATATCTGTGTTTATTGAGATAACAATGTGCTTTTTTGTTTTTTAAAAATGATCTATTCATAGAATGTGTTACATTAATTGATTTTCAGATGATAAATCAATCTTGGTCAGATCAATGACACTGATCCCGGTATATAATTCTTTTTATGTTGTTCTGGATCTTGTTTGCAAGTACTATGTACTATGTTGAAGAGTTTTGCCTACATATTCACATGAGTTTGTGATCTGTGGTTTCCTTTCCTTGCAAGGTCTTTGTTTGTTTGTTTAAAATCATAATAATACTGGCCTCATAAAATAAGTTGGGAATTATTGCCTTTTTTATTTTTGGAAGCATTTGTGAATAATGAATATTAGTTTTTCTTCAAATTTTGGTAAAATTCGTTAGTGAAGCCATCTGAGCCTGGGCTTATTTTTAACTCATTGATTGCTATTTTAATCACTTTGCTTGTAGGTATATGCAGATGATTTCTTATCAAGTAAGTTTCAAGAAGTCTGTCACTTCCTTGAGTCTTCTCTTTTTTTTTTTTTGCTTTGTAAATCTAGCTTTTTTTTTTTTTTTTACTTTGTTGATCTTTTCAAAGAACCAGGTATTATGGTTGTATTTCTATTCTCTATTGGTTTTTCTGGTATTTCATTATTTTTCACTCAAATCTTTATTCTTCATTTCCGCTTTATTTTGTTTGCTTTCAGTTTGCTTTTTTGCAGCATCTTAAGCTATATTTTGAGGTTATTGGTTTTAGATCTTTAATAAGGGAATTTGAAGCTATAAACTTCCCTCTGAGCAGTACTGTAACTGCATTACATACATTTTAGTGTGTTTTGATTTCATTTTCCTTCATCTCAAAGTATGATCCGAGTTCTTTTTATTTTTTCTTTAACCCATTGGTTTTTAGGTGTATGTGTATTTTTCCAGAGATTTTGAGTTTTCCAATTTTTGTTTCCTTTATGCTCCTACTGACAAATACATTTGAAATGTATTACATTTCAAATGTATTACATTTCTATATGAAATAGGCTTAATAGTATATTACACAGATTCTATTTTAGACAATTGCTTTCTGAATCAGTTAAGAGAAGAAATGATTAAAAACATTAATTATGCTATGCTTTATAATTAATTACCAGTTCTCTTTATTTTTAAATGTGGATTTAAATTACCATTTTTGGTTACTTGTGCTCAGCCTGAGGAACTTCCTTTAGTATTTCTTATAAGTTAGGTCTGCTAGCCACAAATTCTCTTGGTGCTGTTAGTGCGCAGACAAGATTTGAGCTTTGGGAGCCTCTGCCTAGATTTCAGAGGATGTATGAAAATGCCTGGGTATCTACCTTCATTTCTGAAAATAGCTTTGCTGGATATGGGATTCCTGGTTGACAGTTTTACTTTTCATTTTATTTTCCTGTGAGCATTCTGAGTGTGTTATCTTACTGACTCTGACCTCCATTGTCTTTACTGAGAAGCCAGCTATTGATTTTAATGGTGTTTTCTAGTGATTGACTTTTTTTTTCCTGTGGCTTTCAAAGTTTTCTCCTTGTGTGATTTTTAGCATTTGACTATGACATACTACTTTGTGAATTTCTTTGTATTTTCCCTACTTGGAATTTGTTGAGTTTCCTGGATGTATTTTTCAATAAATTTAGGAAGTTTCAGCCATTATTACTTCAACTATTTTTTCTGTTCTTTTCTCTCTTCATTTTTGGGTACACCCATTAGGCATATTAATTTTGTGCTTAATGTTGTCCCACATTTCTCTGAGGTTCTGTTCATAGTCTTCATTCTTTTTTTCTACATTCTTCAGATTACATAACCATTATCTATCTATTTTCAGGTTCCCTAACTCTTTCTTCTGTCAGTGAAATCTACTGTTGAGATCTTATAGTGGATTTCATTTCACTTCTGTACTGATCAATTCCATGATTTCTATTTCTTTATTTATGAAATTTTTATTTCTTTATTGATATTCTCTATTTGGTGTCACGTTGTTCTAATTCCTTATTTTACATGTGTACTCATGGTTTCCTTTAGTTCTTTATATATATTTGTAATGATATTTGTAATGACTACACTGAGTTTTATTTTCTCTTGAAACTGATGTCTGATTACTCTCACAGGCACTGTCTTTTGCCAGAATTTTTTCCAGAGTAAGGGTCATACTTTCTTACATTTTGCATATCTCACATAATTCTTGTTGTTGTTTGAAGCTGGGCATTGTAGGAAATATATTGTAGCAACTGTAGTTACTGCCCTTTTTCTCAAGGGTTTGTTATTTTTATTCTCCTTATCATTTGTTTAATCCCTAGCTGGAATATTTTAATAAAGTTTATCCCAGCCCTCTCCTCCTGTAGTCCTAACTCCATAATGTTGCTCCTCCTAGAGACACAGCTTTGGGTATGGGCACGGTCATGCTGGTATGACAATGAATTTGGCAAGGCTCTCTTTATCTCTTTCCTGGACCATAACCAGCTGAGAACTTTCATTAATTGCTAGCTGATTTATCTTTTTTTTTTTTTAACAAAAATGCCTTAGGAAATAAATTGCAAACTAATTCAGTCAAATTCAGGGATCCAGAGGTCAATTTTTGATATTAATTCTGACTATAAGAGCCTCTGTCAGTTGCCACTTAGTCTTGTTTTATCCTGCAAACGGGTTGGCTTACAATTTAGCCTGTATCTTTCTTGAATCTGCAACTCTACTCCTAATTGCCTTTCAATACTACCTCCACTATTTTTGAGATCACCCTTGGGTTTGAACTTTCCTACACTCCATTGCAAATGCAATCAGAGATTTTAGGAAAAAATTAGGAACTATGTATTTTACAGCCTGGTTTTCCCCTCAGGCAAAATGGCAAACCAGAGTTCTAGTTAGACCCTACTTAAAAACAATGGCATGCTTCTCTTGAAATGAAACCTTTACATTAGGAGCTGAGCTGTCAGAGGTAAGTGGTATGATATGGTTTGACTCTGTATCCCTACCCAAATCTTATCTCAAATTGTAGTCCCCACATGTTGAGGGAAGAACCTGGTGGGAGGTGATGGATCATGGGGACTCTTTCCCCCATGCTTTCTCAGGATAATGAGGGAGTTCTAATGAGATCTAATGGTTTTAAAGGTGGCAGTTTCCCCCGTGCTCTCTCTCTCTCCTGCCGCATTGTGAACAAGGTGCCTGCTTCCCCTTCTGCCATGATTGTAAGTTTCCTAAGGCCTACCCAGCCATATGGAACTGTGAGTGAATTAAAACTCTCTCCTTTATAAATTACCCAGTCTTAGTATCTGTATAGCAGTGTGAAAATGAACTAATACAGATAATTGGTACTGGCAGAGTGGGGCACTGCTATGAAGATAACCTGAAAATGTGGAAGTGACTTTGGACCTAGGTAACAGGCAGAGATTGGAGCAGTTTGGAGGGCTCAGAAGGAAACAGGAAGATGAGGGAAAGTTTGGAACTTCCTAGAAACTTGTTGGTTGAATGGTCTTGACCAAAATAGTGATATGGACAATAAAGTCCAGGCTGAGGTGGTCTCAGATGGAGATAAGAAACTTACTGAGAACTGGAGCAAAGGTCACTCTTGCTATGCTTTAGCAAAGAGACTGGTGGCATTTTGCCCCTGTCCTAGAGATCTGTGGAACTTTGAACTTGAAAGAGATATTTTAGTGTATCTGGCAGAAAAGAAAAAATTCTAAGCAGTGAAGCATTCAAGAGGTGGTATACACTTACATGCATTCACAAAGAGATAATTTGAAATTGGAACTTATGTTTAAAAGGGAAGCAGAGCATAAAAGTTTGGAAAATTTGCAGCTTGACCATGGAGTAGAAAAGGAATCTGGGGAGAAATTCAAGACTGCTGCAGAAATTTGCATAAGTAACAAGGAGCTGAATGTTAGTAACCAAGACAATGAGGGCAGTGTCTTTAGGGCATTTCAGAAATCTTTGTAGCCGCCCCTCCGATCACAGGAGGGAAAAATGGTTTTGTGACCTTAGTGCCCTGTGTCCCAGCCACTCCAGATCCAGCTGTGGCTAAAAAGGACCTAGATGCAGCTCAGGCTGTTGCTTCAGAAGGTGCGGTGGGTGCTCAGAAGACAAGAATTGAGCTTTGGGAGCCTCTGCCTAGATTTCAGAGGATGTATGAAAATGCCTCAGTGTCTAGGCAGAAGTCTGCTGCAGGAGTGGAGCTTTTATGGAGACTCTCTACAAGGGCAACACAGAGAGGAAATATGCGGTTGAGTCCCCACACAGGGTCTTCACTGGGACACTGCCTAGTGGAGCTGTGAGAAGAGGGCCAACATCCTTCCGACCCAAGAATGGTAGATCCACCAACAGCTTGCACTGTGCACCTGGAAAATCTGCAGGCACTCAATGCCAGCCTGTGAAAGCAGTCACAGGGGCTGTATCCTGCACAGCCACAGGGGCGGAGCTGCCCAAAGCTGTAGGAGCCCAACTCTTGCATCAGCATGCTCTGGTTATGAGAAATAGAGTCAAAGGAATTTTGGAGTTTAAAGATTTAATGACTGCCTGGTCAGGTTTCAGACATGCATGGGGTTTGTGGGCCCTTTGTTTTGGCCAATTTCTCCCATTTGGAATGAGATTTACTCAAGGACTGTACCCCCATTTTTTCTTGGAAGTAACTACCTTGCTTTTTATTTCACAGGCTCATAGGTGGAAGGGACTTGCCTTGTCTCAGATGAGACTTTGGACTTGGACTTTTGGGCTACTGCTGGAATGAGTTAAGACTTTGGGAGACTGTTGGAAAGGCATGATTGGTTTTGAAATGTGAAAAAGACATTGAGACTTGAGAGGAGCCGGGGCAGAACGATATGGTTTGGCTCTGTGATCTCACCCAAATCTCATCTCAAATTGCAATCCCCATGTGTTGAGGTAGGGACCTAATGGCAGGTAATTGGATCATGGGGGTGGCTTCCCCTTTGCTGTTCTCATAATAGTGAAGGAATTTTCACCAGATTTGATGGTTTTAAAAGTGGTGGTTTCCCCTTCACTCACTGTCTCTCCTGCCATCTTGTGAAGAAGGTGCCTGCTTCCTTTTTGCCTTCCGCCATGATTGTCAGTTTCCTGAGGTCTCCCCAGCCATGCAGAACTGTGAGTCAATTAAACCTCTCTCCTTTATAAATTACCCAGTCTCAGATAGTATCTTAACCGCTGTGTGAGAACAGACTAATGCATGGTAGTAGCCTTAAATCCTTTCAACTTGCCTCTCCTAGGATCAAACTGGGTCAAGGGCAATCAGGGTTTTAGTATTCTCAATAGTACGATTCCTTAGGTAGAACCTTCACTCCATGAGTGAGAGATAAGCAGACAAAGGGATTTCTCATTTAATGGCTACACTTGCCTGGAACTTATGCTCAGCAACATGTAGCTAGGGATAAAATGATGAGTCTTGACATTCTGCTTCTTCCAGTAAAAAGACCTTCAACTTGGAGCTAGGGGGAGAAACTTTCGTATGTTATTTTTTGCACCAGTCTCAAGTAGGAATTGGAACTCACTAAGATGGAATGAGGGAGGCAGAGAGAGAGTGGGCTCAGTTCAAATATCATAGTCATAATTTTCTTACCAAACATTAATAGACAGTTTTCATCAGATGATTCCTCGTTTGCTGTATGTCCTCAGGACCATTTCAAAAGATTTTTATAAATTTTTTTTACATCTGCAGAACTTCTCACATTATCATGTGAGAAGTCTCTCTCAGCAAACATTTAACGTTATGAGAAAAAGGGTTCTTTTTATTTACAGATATATGTGTATATATATGTGTGTGTATATATGCATACATATGTATGTGTGTGTGTGTGTGTGTGGATAGATAGATAGATAGATAGATAGATAGATAGATAGATAGATAAGTTTAGTTTTGGTCTAAGAACAGACCAAAAGACCAATGACTTCCTAGAGAAAGCTCTGAAACAGAACCTAGTATAGATGAAAGCACCCTCTGTAAAGGTATAATTTTATAAATTAATGATAAAATGAGTTAGTAATTAACTGTTGCAGCCCAATGGTAAAACATATTTCAAAATAATATTAGAAGACTTTCTTACATATCAAATTCTCAAATATGTTGGGTTAATCTTAAGGCTAAAATAGGAGTAATAAAAATTACTGAAAGTGAATATAAACATAGAAAAAGATACCACAGAGTAAGAAAATCTATAACACAATCAACAGTCAAAATAATTAGATTTATGATGTAAAAAAGAACATCTGTAAATCTATATGACAACTCTAGAATATACATAGGAAAATTACAGGAACAGGTAATGCACATAATAAAAAAATCAAATGTAAATTAGTCTATGAAACTTTCCAAATATTACTACTGAATACAATCCAAATTTTTAAAATGGATATATAATGTGTATGTTTGTGCATGTGTATGTGTATGCCTATTAAATTTTATAAACATGAAAAATAATAATACCATCTTTTGTTGGTGGTGAGGATTTGGTGAGGCTTACATATTCTTGGTTTAAGAATGAATTGGTAAAAACCAATTTATAATGTGCTTTTGTTATATGTCACCACACAAAACATTTAAATAACATTTCTTTTTAAAGATTATGTCTTATAGCATTAACCGCATTAATAAGTAAAAATAATTTGAGCTCTGATGTTAATATGCACTGTTTTGCAAAGGTAGAAAAATCAGATTTATAAATGGCTTATTTATAGGCAAGAGTTAGAATATGATAAATGCATATAATGAGATGGAATTTAACAATTACAAAATTATGAGGTAGAATATATACACTACCCTAGAATATATTTATCACATATTATTATGTAAAAAACAAATAAGTTTCAGGTTCAATTACATACAATAATTCAATTTTTGTTTAAAAAATGTATGTGAACACAGTATAAATGTGGATATAATAGTTTTTATTTAAAGACATACATATTTTCTGGAATCATATGAATAAATCAATAAAAATCATTAGGGAATAAAAATGGTTCTCCACAGTGTAGTACTAGTTGAATGGTTTCTACTATAAACTCATTCATCTCTTTTTAGAGGAGACTGGGTCTTGGTTTTAATAAGAGGCAATACGAAAAAAATGTATTCAAAGACAATTACCAGGTTTTTGTGTTAGGCAACTAGGCTTATGATGTTGATCACTGAAATAGAAAATATAATGAGAAAAAAACATTCTAAAGAGAGAGCTGATTAATCTAGTTTTAAACAATATTTAGCTTGAATTATCTTTGTAACATTTAGGTCTTGAAGTTCACCACATCCATTAAACAAGGAATATAAGCTTGGTAATAATTATATACAGATGAAGATAGAACTTCTGCAGTCATAGGCCATTCAGAAAAATCTTACAGGGCAATGTTTTAGAAAAATGGAATTATTGATGTTTTGGGGAGAATATTCCTCATTGTAAAGTATTATCTCAAATGTTTTAGGGAAATTACCATCTTCTTTCCCTGATCAGTAAATATCAATAGTTTTCTAGGTTAATTTTAAGCACCAAAACTTATTGCCAACACATTTGCAAGTAGCTCATAGGTTATATTTCTTTTTCCGATTACCAATTACTTGTGTCTAGAGAGAAGAGTGAGGTGGATATCTGGAAGTTATATGTGTGTGTGTGTGTGTATATATATATATATATATATATATATATATATATATATACACACACACACACTATATATATACCACTCATATATATGTAATTATATATTCTATTGTATAGAATATATAATGTTATTAATATAAAATATATTTATATTATATTAATATATAATATCAATATAGTAATATGAATATTAACATATAATATAAATATATAATATATATTTTATATATATATGAGTGGTATATATATATATATATATATATATATATAGAGAGAGAGAGAGAGAGAGAGAGAGAGAGAGAGAGAGTGGTAGAAAATAGTCTATGAAGGAAACTGAGAAAGATTTGTCCAGGGGAATTACAGAAAATTAAAAGACACAGTAACAAAAGGAAAAAAAATAATCTATGGATAACAAAAGAGAATTGGCAGTAGTAGGTAAAAATTGCAAAATATACAAATAAAGTCTGAAAAGTATTGATTCATTTCAGTAACAAAAAAATTATTGTATATGTGGGTAGGACTTTTTGGGTCACGGGGTAATGAAGAATGAATAAGTGTTATAATCTCTGTCAAGAATATAACTTTTTAGAGATGTGACAAGGCAATAGGTGAATGAAGTTCAAGAAACTCAATAAAGGTTTACCAGTGACATTGTTGTTGTTTTGAAGTGATGAGAAAAACTCACAAAATGCAAAAATACAAAGAGAAAGTGCCAGTGAATAAATATTTTTGAAGATATAAGATAAATGGGTCATATTTTGATTTCCATATTTTATATTTTCAATGTGGTCATCATGGAAATTACATATAACAATTTAAAGTTATAACAATTTGATTTGGCAGGAACTTAACTTCAATTGCATGCAAAATATTTACTTCTATATAATTATGTACCCCCTTATTTTATATTACTAATGTCACACATTCCATCTTTGTATGTTGTATACCCATTAACACAGACCTATAATTATTTGATACATTTGTCTTTAAGTTCTGTCTTTGCCAGAACTGCTCTCCTGTTTGCAGTTAAATGCCTGAGGCTTTTCCAGACTAAGGTGGCATGCTTTCCGTGGCTTTATAATTCTGGTGTCTGAAAGGCAGCAACGCTGCTCCCAAATTTCCACTATGCACTCCCCTAGTAGAGGGTCTCTCCAGTGACCCTGTCCTTGTGGAAAGATTATTTCTGGGCACCCAGCCTTTCCAATACATCCTCTGAAATCTAGGTCGAAGTGGCCAAGCCTCCACCGCTCTTGAATTCTGAGTGCCGCAGACTTAGCAAGATATGGAAACCAGCAATGCTTACCACTTTTGCTCTTCAGAACTGTGGCTTTAACAGTATTTGAGGTCCTTTGAACCACCACTGGAGCTACAGTGGCTAGAATGCATTGAGTAACATCTCAAGGTGGTGTGGGGCAGCAATGCTTGACCCCATCCCCAAAAAAACCATTCTGTCCTCCCAAGCTTCTGGATTCTAATGGGAGGTGTAACCTTGAAGATTTCTAAAATGACTTTGACACCTTTTTCCCATTGTCTTGAAAGCATCTAGCTTTCTTTGGTCATGCTAATCTCTCCAGCAAGTGTTTGCTCTGCAGTACTGTTGGATTTTTCGTCTAAAAAATGTTATTTCATTCTTTACCACATAGGCAGGCTGCAAATTTTTCAGATTTCTGCATTTTGCTTTTCCTTTAATTATAAACTGCACCTATAGGTTATTACTCTGTTGCCCTACCTGATATTAAATTGTTAAAAACAGCTCTACCACCTCTTGAAGGCTTTGCTGTAGAAATTTCTTCTATTAGATAACCTAGGTCATCACTCTTAAATTCAGCCTTCTGCCAAGCCCTAGGGCATAGACAGAATGCTTCCATATTCTTTGCTTAGTTTAAATGGGTGACTTTTTCTCTAGTTCTCAGTAAGTTCCTCATTTTGTCCGATGACACATCAACATGGCCTTGGCTGTCTATATTTCTAGAAGCACTTTGGTCATAACCACTTAACCAATCTCTGAAAAGTTCCATACTTTCCCTCATTTTTATGTCATTTTCTGTGCCCTCCTCACTCTTCCAACTTCTGCCCATTACCAACTTCCAAAGCCACTTCTACATTTTCAGTTATCCTTATAGTAACAAGCAATACTCAGTACCAATTTTCTGTCTAATTTCTATGTGTTGCTATAAAGGAATACCCAAGGCTCAGTAATTTATAAAGAAAAGAGGTTTATTTAGTTAATGATTCCACTGCCTGGAAGATTGGCCCTGTGGTTGGTGAAAGCCTCAGGCTACTTCACTCATGGCAGAAATAAAGGGGAGCTGACATGTGCAGAGGTCACATGGCAAGGGAGGAAGCAAGAGAGAGAAGTGGGTGGTGCCAGATTCTTTTAAAGAGTTATGGGAACTAATAGAATGAGAAAGCACTCACCACATGTCCAGGGAAGTGGGGTGGTGCCAGATTATTTTACTAGAAGGGGGTGCCACCAGTTTCTTTTACTAGAAGGGGGTGCACTCACCCCATGTCCAGGGAGGCTATTAATCTCTCACTGAGGGATCTTCCCCCATGACCAAACACTTCCCATTAGACTTTACCTGGAGCACTGGGGATCAAATTTCACCCTGAGATTTTTAAGGGGACAAGCATCCAAATCATAGCAGTGGGCTTTTGCATTTCCCAGTATGCAAGGCTACATTTAAATGTCATAATTTCCCAAAGAGTCTCACATCAGCTTCTCCTTGGGACCTTAGATTGTCTATTGTTAAGTCTCTACCAGTAATCTCTTGTCGCAGGCATCTGTGGCTTTGTAGTGTCCATGTAGCTTTCCTGAGCAGCAGATACTGTTTCTCCCTGTCTGAGATCTGAGTTAAGAAAAACAGTCTTAAAGAGGTCTTTGTCAGCCCCTACTGACCTCTTCAAGGAGAACTACTAAACACTGCCCAAGAAAATTAGAGAGGACACAAACACATGGAAAAACATTCCATGCTTATGGATAGGAAGAATCAATATCATGAAAATGGCCATACTACCCAAAGAAATTTATAGATTCAATGCTATCTCCATCAAGCTACCAATGACTTTCTTCACAGAATTGGAAAAACTACTTTAAACTTCATATGGAACCAAAAAAGAGCCCGCATAGCCAAGATAATCCTAAGCAGAAAGAACAAAGCTGGAGGCATCATACTACCTGACTTCAAACTATACTACAAGGCTAGAGTAACCAAAACAGCATGGTACTGGTACCAAAACAGAAATATAGACCAATGGAACAGAACAGAGCCCTCAGAAATAACACCACACATCTACAACCATCTGATCTTTGACAGACCTGACACAAACAAACAATGGGGAAAAGATTCCCTATTTAATAAATGGCATTGGGAAAACTGGCTAGCCATATTTGGAAAACTGAAACCGGACCCCTTCCTTAAAACTTATACAAAAATCAAGTCAAGGTGGATTAAAGACTTAAATGTAAGACTTAAAACCATAAAAACCCTAGAAGATAACCTAGGGAATACCATTCAGGATGTAGGCATGGGCAAAGACTTCATGTCTAAAATACCAAAAGCAACAGCAACAAAAGCCAAAATTGACAAATGGGGTCTAATTAAACTAAAGAGCTTCTGCACAGCAAAAGAAACCATCATCAAAGTGAACAGGCAACCTACAGAATGAGAGAAAAGTTTTGCAATCTATCCATCTGACAAAGGGCTAATATCCAGAATCTACAAAGAACTTAAACAAATTTACAAGAAAAAAACAACCCCATCAAAAAGTGGGCAAAAGATATGAACAGATGCTTCTCTAAAGAAGACATTTATGCAGCCAACAAACATATGAAAAAATGCTCATCTTCACTGGTCGTTAGAGAAATGCAAATCAAAACCACAGTGAGGTACCATTTCACACCAGTTAGAATGGTGATCATTAAAAAGTCAGGACACAACAGATGCTGGAGAGGTGTGGAGAAATAATGCTTTTACACTGTTGGTGGGAGTGTAAATTAGCTCAACCATTGTGGAAGACAGTGTGGTGATTCCTCAAGGATCTAGAACTAGAAATATCATTTGACCCAGCACTCCCATTACTGGGCATATACCCAAAGGATTATAAATCGTTCTACTACAAAGACACATGAACACCTATGTTTATTGCAGCACTGTTTACAATAGAAAAGACTTGGAACCAGCCCTAATGTCCATCTATGACAGACTGGATAAAGAAAATGTGGCACATATATACCATGGAATACTATGCAGTCATAAAAAAGGATGAGTTCATGTCCATTACAGGGATATGAATGAAGCTGGAAGCTGTCATTCTCAGCAAACTATCACAAGGACACAAAACCAAACACCACATGTTCTCACTCATAAGTGGGAGTTGAACAGTGAAAACACATGGACACAGGGAGGGGAACATCACACACCAGGGCCTGTCGGGAGGTGGGGGGCTAGGGGAGGGATAGCATTAGAAGAAATGCCTAACGTAGATGACGCATTGATGGGTGCAGCAAACCACCATGGCACGTGTATACCTATGTAACAAAACCGCATGTTCTGCACATGTACCCCAGAACTTAAGAGTATTAAAAAAAAAATTAGAAGTCAATAATTCTCTTACCAACAAAGAGGACTTGCATTCAACGGGATTTTTAAAAGTGGTATTGTGTAAAAATTTTGGAAAATACCACCATAATGGAAAAAATAATAAAGTAGCATATAAATCAAATATGATGCTAAAAATTATAATTTTTACATATGAATTTTGGAATCTTAAAATAAATATTTTTATTTGTTTTGGAAAAAAAAAGAAAAGCTGTCTTTCCATCAGCCTGAGACAAGTTAAAACACTGCAAAGAAAGTCTGTTCTGCCCTTCTTTTATGTCAGAGAATAAATTAAGAAATGGGCTGTTGCCTCCTCCAGACCAAAACCGCATCATGCCATGGATAAGATAAGGCAACAATGAAGAAAACCACTGTAACATTTTCTGCATGTTAAATGTTGCTTTTTTTCTGATGTGGTGTTCACTTGATTGCTGTAGTCCTTTGAATGTTTTCCAGAATTGGTATGTGGTTATTTTAGTTGATTTTTGTTTGTGTTTTAAAATCTTCATGGGAAGCAAATGTTTGAAGCTTTCTAGTCAGCCATTTTGCTAATGAGGCTACATCATTCAATTTAAAGTGTCATTCTATCATTCCAGTTTGAGAAAACATTAGGATAGCAACACTTAATGTTTTCATCAGTATTTGTATTATCTGGCTTCCCAGTACACATTCTTTCATGAATATTCTGAATTTCTACCTAGATTTTGTACACTAGTTTCCAACAGAACACTTTTATTTTATATTCTTGTTTGCATTCTGCAAAATACAATGTGTATTTATATTGAAACATTAAAGCAGGCTATACATTTCAGCTTTCAATAACCATTTTCTTTTCAATAATCTAACAATGCACTACCTCACAGTGATAGTTCAGTCACTTTACAGTGTGGGCGCATATTTATTTTCTCATAAAATAAAATATATTAGTAATTAATGAACACTTTTCAAAAACATTTGTTTTAAAATACCATATCTTGCACACATTTTTATATGTAACAAGTAGAATTGAATTACCTACTTAGCCATTTCAAACATCATTTTGTTTGATGTATCCTTACAAGAAAACTTTCTAAAGCTTTTGTTAATCCGTTTGCTCCTAAAAATATATTGGCATTTGCAAAATATCAGAATTTATTGCATACCAGTTTTTAATGTGTCCCTAAATACTTAAAACAAGATATTCATGTCTTCCAATTATGCAAAATTCTCTAGAATCATTAGTGCCTATTGACATGTAAAACCTTCCAGAAAATCTAAGTAAATTTGAAAAAACAAAATGATGTATTTTTATTTATTTTTCTTTCTAAACAGTATTTTATTCATAGATGGGTAAAAGAAGTATACTTTTTTTTTTTTTTTTTTTTTTTTTTTTTTTTCCTGAGGGCTGGAGTGCAATGGCATGGTCTTGGCTCACTGAAACCTCTGCCTCCCAGGCGATTCTCCTGCCTCAGCCTCCCAAGTAGCTGGGATTACAGGCACTAGCCACCATGCCTGGCTAATTTTTGTTTTTGGCTTTTTTTTTTTTCAGTAGAGATAGGGTTTCACCATTTCGGCCAGGCTGGTCTTAAACTCCTGGCCTCAGGTGATCTGCCCGCCTCGGCCTCCCGAAGTGCTGGGATTACAGGCGTGAGCCACTGCGCCTGGGCAAGAAGCATACAATATTTTAATTCTAAAGACACTCATATATTCCAAGGGACTTGAACATCATAATTGTAAATCTCAGTCAAAATATATAGTACCAAACTACCCCTCCTTGGAAAGTAACTGCTTAAGGTGAAAAGCATTTTTAGGTTGTCTTTCCTATACAGAAGCCTGTGTGAGTAATTTAGTAGGATTGTGAGGTCCAAAAATGTAGAGTGGGAGCACTTGGCTATGTGGCTGACAAGGAGGGTGTTTTATCTTTGGTGAGTTTACCCTTCTTATGTATTTATCACCTTCTCCAACTTTTTAGTTACAGGAAAAATTGGAGATGATATTTAGATATCTATCTTAATGATACCTTTCCTTTGTGTGCAGTTTGATATAAGATTTATGTTAGTGACTCTTGTGAATAATTTCTATAGTTCATTTTGTCTTCTTTCATATAAGTAAACTTTGAGATTTTGCCTTTCAAATAGCACACGATATCCATAGAGGTATCACATTGTTAATAAATTAACAGAAAGGGCATTTCTATCTAACCTAACCTACTTAGCAATGCTATCAATTAGGAAAACACATTGATTGGGACAATCAATGAGATTCCTATTTGCTGATACAAATTCATCATGTCTTCAAGCTCCAATAAAGATGTCCTCCCAAGTGTCTTCTTTCTCGCAATGAAAAATAATATTTATTTATTTATTGAAAAATAGGAAGAAAGCTGTTTTAATAAAATAGTCTCAAGAGAACTGAGTAAATATATATTGTGTTTATTTGATATTCAATCAAGCTCAGGTAATATTTCCACTCCCCGATCTCTTATTTAATTTCCCTCTGACCCTCACTTGCACTATACTGTATATTTCATTTCAAACTCAGTTAAATAAATAAGTCAAATTTTCTAAGCCCATGAATTTCATAGCTATTCTTTGCTGCCAGTAAATCTTACCTTTTATTTTCACTTGTCAGATCAGGGCCATAATCAGGAACTGGGAAACAGGGCTCTGCCCCTTTTCAGGATCATCAGTAATTTTTCACTCACACTTAGATATGAATTATTAAGATAGCTCTTGGTTAAAAAAAGGAAAACTATTTCAAGTGTAATGCTGCAAAAGGTTGAAACAATTGAATTTCCCATTTAGCAAATACAGGATTGTTTCCTACCTCTCAAGTGAACTTCAATGACAATGAAAATAAGAAAACTACTTGCTGCAAAATAGGAAGTTGTCATCGTAATTTAGAACCAAAATAGAAGAAAAGTGCCCTAAACACTTGACACCATATACAGAAGAAGGCCAAGTCAGACTAATGATTTAGTGTGCTGAGAGGCATCATGAGTATTCATGGCTGCTAGATCTGTAAAGTTTCTACAGACTCACGGAGTCAGAGAGTGGAAGAAATCTTTGATAAATCATGTAATCCACTGTACACTGTTGTGTTTCACATTCCAAGTAGACATATGTATGTCGTGTTTTAAATATGTGATTCTAAAAGAACTCTTTCAGAATTAGCTTCTATTCATTTTTAAGCCTTTCGTCTGAATATTCTAAACTCATAATTTAATATGTGCCTGTAGACAGTTTCCAAGTATTTCTTTTAACCGTCATTCTTTTCTGTCCATTCAGTTTATCAAATATTGAATATTAATTCCGTTTTATCATGCACTGAAGCAAGCTCCCCACCAGGAATAAAAATATCAAATTTTGTATTATTTCTCCAAGTAAAATTAATATGTGAGTATAATACACTGTTACTTTAAATATTAATTATGTAAAAGAGGACAATGTTTTCTCTAAATTATATATATATTTATACATATATAAATATATGTGTGTGTGTATATATGTATGTGTGTGTGTGTGTGTATATATATATATATATATATATATATATATATATATATATATATATGTGAAAACAGATGTGTTGGGTTGATCACTAAGTAAAAAGTGTTGAGCCAGCTGGGCGCGGTGGCTCACGCCTATAATTCCAGCACTTTGGGAGGTCGAGGCAGGCGGATCAAAAGGTCAGGAGATTGAGACCATCCTGGATAACACGGTGAAACCCCGTCTCTACTAAAAATACACGAAAATTAGCCAGGCATGGTCGTGGGCGCCTCTTGTCCCAGCTACTCGGGAGGCTGAGGCAGGAGAATGGCATGAACCCCGGAAGCGGAGCTTTCAGTGAGCCCAGATCACGCCACTGCACTCCAGCCTGGCAACAGAGAGAGAATCCATCTCAAAAAAAAAAAAAAAAAAAAAAAAAAGGGAAGTATTGGGCCTTTTACACTACAAGTTAACATAGACTTCTTTCTCTTCGCTCTTGATTCTTAAATATCAGAGTGTTCAATGTTCAACTTGATAACAAACATTTGAAGAGATTCTAGTTGTTCACTTATGAAATACAGCACATCGGAGAGAAATTAAATTATATATATATATAAAATACCTAATGTATACATATACATGCATAGACATATTTTCAACACTCTCTATACTGGCAAATTAATAAATGCTTCTTCTTAATTTGTATTTGACATTCTTTGGGCTTAATTGTGATATATGTTACTTAGTTAAAAGGATTATGTTAATACCATCTGCAAATTATTGAATATGTATAGGTATTCTTCAAAATGCCATATGTGATTTAACTTATTTACCCTCCACAGCAAATATATGAGGTAGGTACTATAATTCTCACCATGGAAAAAATAAAGATGAAAGGGAAGTTAAGGACCCAGGGTGACAGAACAGGGAGTGGCAGGGCAGCATTTAAAGTCAAGCAGCATGGCTTCCAAGAACACCATCTTTTCTACTGAGATACACTGCCTTACTAAAAAAATATGGAAAATATCTCCAAAGAGATTATATATGTGTGTGTGTATATATATATATAATGTACGGTTGTTTTTAATATATAGTTGTTTTATATATTTATATATATTTTAAAAATTTTTAATGTGTGTACATATATCACAGTGTGTGTGTGTGTGTGTGTGTGTGTGTGTGTATGTGTGTATATATATTCTAAGAGGCCTCAGAATAAACCAAACTACTGACACCTTGATCTTAGACTTCTAGCCTCTGGAAATGTGAGAAAATATATATTTTGTTGTTTAAGCCACTCAGTCTATGCCATATTTTTATATATTTGTCTATAGTATATTTGTATGGTGTGCACACACACACATTCAAGATCCTTATATATATGTTATGGGCTGAATTGTGTCTGTGCAAATTTATATGTTGAAGACTTAGCCTTTAGTATTACGGAAGGTGACTGCATTTGGAAATAGAAACTTTACAAGGTATTTTGATAAAATGAGATCGTATTGGTGGGCCTTAATTCCATATGTCTGGTATCCTTACAAGAAGAGAAAATTAGAGGTATCAGAGGTACATGTGCATAGAGAAAATACCTTCTGGGGACACGGCGAGAAGGTGGCCAGCTGTAAGATAGGAGAGAGGCCTCGGAATAAACCAAACCTTCTGACACCTTGATCTTGGACTTCTAGCCTCTAGAAATGTGGGAAAATATATTTTTCTTGTTTAAGCCACCCAGTCTATTGTATATTTGTTATGGTAGTCCTAGGAATTTGTGAAACATATGTCTGCTAACTTTTTCTCTATGGAAAAATACACACATACACAAGCACAGTGATTTCTGCTATCCTACAGAAACCAGGACTTCACATTGCACGAATTAATCATATTACCAATAACTTGCTACTGAAAAATAAAATTCTGTTATTTGTTTGGCTGCTATATAAGTTATCCCCAACCTGAAACAAGGACTCTGAGATTTAGTATTAAGTGATCTATTGCTACTCAGTAATAATGAATAAATAATTAAATAATGTGCAAGCCTAATGTCAATGACTCACAATCTTTTTTTTTTTGTTTGGTGGGGGGTGGGTGGGGGGATGGAGTCTCGCTCTGTCACCCAGGCTGGAGTGCAGCAGTGATGCCATCTCAGCTTACTGCAAGCTCCACCTCCCAGGTTCAAGTGATTCTCCTGTATCAACCTCCCAAGTAGTTGGGATTACAGGCGCATGCCACCATGACCGGCTAATTTTTTGTATTTTAGTAGAGACTGGGTTTCACCCTGTTGCTAGGCTGGTCTCGAACTCCTGAGCTCAGGCAATCCACCCACCTCGGCCTCCCAAAGTGCTAGGATTACAGGCGTGAGCCACCACGCCGAGCCAACTCACAATCTTAGACCTCAACATCCTTTTCTTACAGGATAAATAGACTTTTTATTTGGATTTATCAACTAATAATAAGTCTAAAACCACAAAAAGGACAACTATCAAGTTTGGGCAAATAGGGAGAAAACGATCCACCATAGGTACTCCTTATACGTGTTTATTAAGATTATAAATGGTATTTGAATGTAAAGCTGGGCAAAACAATGAATCTTGACAACATTTGTCCAAGTTTAAAACATCTAATATTTAATGAATGCTCAATACATACCAGCAAATGCACTGATATTTATACACATTTTCTCATTTATTCTTCACCGAAGTCAAATGGAATTGGTATTGTTGTTATTTTCATTTTTCTGTTTTCTCTATTTCTCAAAGGTCTTTGTATACTAAATCTATATTCTCCTCATGGTTATTTGATGCTTTGAAGGTTCTGGAAGTTATATAAAAGAAATTTGCCAGAAAACAAATTCAGTCCTTAGAAATAGGCAAAAAAGATTACTTTGGGTTCTTTCACTGAAGGACAGGACTTGATTTCCTATTTTCTGCGTTATTTTACAATTCGGTAGACAGAGTTTAATTTCTATACTTTTGTTTAACAGAGATGCAACAAAGTTCTATTCAATGGAACAGATAACCCCAAAAAGCATATTTATGATACTATGAACATTAACCAGTTTCATCTCAAATTCAGCATTTATTAGTAACCCACACTAATTATTTTCTTTAAGTTGAACTGAATCTTTGATACATATTCATTTTTATTTCCATGTGAATCGTGGTTTTGCCTTTTGGAGAATTCTATTTTTAGCAGTAGTAATTTTAGGTAATTAATTTGAGAAAATGTCGTATGTGATGATCATAATCGACCTGTAGCCATTATTTTGAGTTTTACCTGGAGATATACTGCTTAATTTTATAATACATTCAAACTAATTCCATAATTGAGGAAATTAAAAAATAGAATGTCAAGCTCTATTAACCTAGGAATATTTGGACAGAAGAGACACACAGAAGATGATTGTTCAAAATCAATTCTTACTTTGAAGAGGGATTCTTTTAAATTATAAGCTATCTAGTGCAACTGAATCCTCAAATTTAAAAAATAATTCACGTATAACTTTTCAGAAATATTATTCCTCATTAAAAGGAGAAGATAGAAAATTAGAGATGAAGTCAAGTATCAAATAGACATTTCTATTTCTTTGGAAATATAATAAGATTTTCTTATCTTAAACTGTCCAGCCTTAACAATTTAAGCACCCTACCTACTTTGAGTCACTATTTAAGGCCAGAGATTAGCTTCTAAGGAGAATTGTAGCAATTTTCTATATGTCTGCAGTGGACATTAAAACATAATAAGAGCAGCCAACCTCATCAGTTGTAGCCATGGAACATAAATTCTTCCCCTAGAGCTAAGGATAAATTGGATCTTGGAATGAAGGCTGCATTACCCTCCTCACCAAACACCTCCACCCCTCACTTTTTGAAACTTCCTGTTTAAAGGAAAGAACTACTCCCTTTTCACAATGGGAAGGTTTGCCAGGGGAGGACAAGCAGAGGTGAAATATTAGTACTCTTCTGCTTAAGAAATAATCAGATGTCAAATATCATATTCTTAATTTCAGCAGTATCATCAGATAAAAACAGAGAGTAGGTCCAGGCCCAGTGGCTCACGTCTGTAATCCTAGCACTTTGAGATGCCGAGGCGGGCGGATCACGAGGTCAAGAGATCGAGACCATCCTCGCCAGCATGGTGAAACCCCGTCTCTACTAAAAATACAAAAATTAGCTGGGCATGGTGGGGTGCACCTGTAATCCCAGCTACTCAGGAAGCTGAGGCATGAGAATCGCTTGAACCCGGGAGGTGGAGGTTGCAGTGAGCCAAGATCATGCCACTGCACTCCAGCCTGGCGACAGAGCGAGACACTGTCTAAACAAACAAACAAACAAACAAACAAAACCTGAGAGTAAAATTGGTTTGAAAATAATGAAATATTTTTTTCACAATGAATGAGAAAATGGTTTGTTTTGACTTAAGCTTCTGGCATATGAGACCTTATGTGGCTAGTAAATGGGCTTTTCTATACCTCTAATAAACCACTGGTATCTAAGATTAAAATAAAAAGTTGCCATTGATTAAACAAACATTTAAAACTTAAGAAAATAAAGTTTGCTAAAAAGAGGTGCAGCTTGCACAGTGGGATGATTGCTGAGTGACCTAGTTATGAACCCGTATCTCGTGACTATTTGTACTTCATACAACTTCTACTTCATATTGGCTATAAGAAGTTGTTCTTATCACGATAGGAGTGAACTTACATAGCACTCTTCTGCTCAAGAGCCTGTGCTTAAATAATGCTTAACATTAGCAAACGAGACCCAATTTCCTGACTCATTAAAACCTGAAATAAATGACTAATGAATATTTTATCAAAAATGTTGGAAGTGAAACTAATCATTTCTTGTTACAAAGACAAAATACTATTAATATGAACTAATATGAGCAACTTGCTCTCATTCTAAAGCTATAGGAAACTATATGTTTTCTATTCTTTCAGAAATGTTGTAAATTATCAATTATATGTATGCTTAAATAAATGTGTATAATGGCTGAAATTTTTGGAATCTGAATTTGTCATTTTGCTCCTGGGAGATAGAACGGTCAAGAAAAAAATGAAAAAAAAAAAAAAAGGAAACTAAGACAAGAATTACAAACGGTTTGCAAGTTGTAGGACTTAATCATCTCCCAAAAAGTTTCAGAAATAATGAGATGAAAGAACTATGTTTGCCCTGCATTTCATTTTTTAATTCATTAAACAGATGGTCTCACTTTGAAATAATTATAAATTAGAGTATATTTGCCCAATTAACAAAACAGTTCAAACTACAATCATCAAAAGATTGGCACAAAATTTAGCTTCAGACATTCATTTACAAATTTCACTTCATTGCAGTTGGTTTATTTACCAAATTCCATAAGGAATGAACAGCAGGACAGAGTGGGATATAGACTTAGAATCAAACAAATCTGGCTTTGAGTTCCAACTCCAAAATTACATGCCTTTGTGAATGTGAGATCTGGTAGTGATTTTAAAGATCATCAAGCTAAAACACTATATTTTACAGATGGAGAAACCAAGATGTAAAGATGTGAAATGCAATGCACAAAGTTCCATAGTCACTAGAATATTATATGCTCCTCTTACAACAATAAAAAAAGTATAGTCTGGCACCTCCTGGGACAAACTATCTTTACTATGCTGAACTGAAGCTTATGTTTACTCAACCCCACTGAGGAAAGATCAGTATAGTAGAAAAAAATTTTGATTTAACGATTTAAATTCATACATTTAAGTACCTTTACTCCTAGGTTTTTGTTTGTTTGTTTTTTGAAAAGCTTTGAAAATATATCACTAAAGTGGAAATATCCATATCAGTATTGAAAACCAAATATATAATGACCATCATTTTTCAGAAAATTTAAGACATGGGGCCTGAAATTGTTACCTGAAAACCACCACAAGAGAAGAAAAACCCCACCAGAGACTAAATAGAAGGGACATTCAAGGTAATTCCATGAAAACCCTCAGGCTGAAATCAGCAAGGGCCACAGAAAAAGGCCACAGGTTCCAGCCATGCTCTGATTATCAATTACATAAATCAGCATATTGATATCCCTATTTCTCACCTTTCCTCTGTTTTTTTAGATGTCATATCTGTACATCTGTCTAAGGACTACTCCTTCATTTTTTATTTGTATGCTATTTTCTTTCAGATCCAACCAAGATATTGCCATTCAGTTACTCACGCTCATTCCTGCATCATACATTATCTTTTTTAGAGGTGTTTTTAACTGCAGGAATGGAAAGAAATTCATCGGATGCCAAAAATAACACGAAAGAAAAAATCCCTATGGGGTAACCTAGTGTTGAAGCCAGTTTTTTGTGTGTTTGTCTTTGGACTGTCTGCCAGTCTTTGTTGGCCCAGAGCCGTGGTTTTAACTAGCTAAGTGCTTGGCCATGCTACAAAGGCTATGCCTGAGATTTGGAAGGCAGCTAAGAGACCGAAAGCTGAGATCCTGGAAATTCAATATACATGAATTTCTGTATTGTTAATGAAAAGAAACTTTAAAACTGCCCTTACTTGCATATTATATTATCCTGTAGATACAGAAAAGCAAGAGGGGTATAAGATCAAGTTATAATTAACGAAAAAGTTTAGCAAATTTTAATGGAATTTCTGCATTTCTATATACCCTGGTAGCAAACAAGAAATGCGTACACACAGACACACACACACACACACACACACACACACACAACACACGTATGTATACATATTTGCCTCTCCAGTAGAAAGTGAGTGCATCATACACATACACAGATACACATACACATATATAGAATTGAAAATATCAAAACGAAATCAGTGGTACATAAGCATATCTAGAAACCTAGCAAATATATGTAAAACAATATAAATGACTTTAAAATATAAAATCTTAAAAAATGAGAGATATAGGATGTTCATAGAGTGGAAAATGCAATATCATAAAAATCGAATTGCTATTTGTCTACATGTCAAAATAATGTATAGATTTAATGTAATTGAAAGCAAACTACCATTGTGTTTTTTTATGGACTTAGATCATTAGATTTTAAAATTGCTATGGAATATCAAAGGGTTATAAAGTTTCAAGGTACTCCTGAAAACTAACCAGGAGGGGAAACTAGTTCTAGTAGATATAAATGTTTATTATAGAGTCATTTAAATGAGGATAATGTGCTATTAATGAAACAATAAAAAGATAAGTACAATAGACTTAAATTCTAGAAGTTGTATGTGTGTGTTTGTGTGTGTATGTGTGTGTGTGATACATACTTTGATATATTTAAATCAGAGACAGTTCATTAGTGGAGAAAGGCAAAGTAGCTAATAAATTATAGTGGGTTGATTTTTTAACTTATATGGAAAAATTTTAAAAGACTAATGACCATTATAACTTCAATCAAAATACAAAAATAAATTATTGAATAACCAAATTCTTACATGTGGATAGCAACATTTTTAAATATTTAGAAAAGTTATAGAAAATGTCTTTTAATTTTAATATAGGGCAACTTTTTCAGAAGACAAAAATGTACAGGATAGAGAAAAAGAGACTGGTAAATATGTATAAAATAAATGTAAATTTTTAGAATTATTATACTTTAAGTTCTGGGTTATATGTGCAGAACGTGCAGTTTTGTTACATAAGTATACACATGCCATGGTGGTTTGATACACCAATCAACCTGTCACCTATGGGTTTCCTAATGTTCTCCTAGGTATTTATCCTAATGTTATCCCTCCCCTAGCCACCCCCCTGCTGACAGGCCTCAGTGTGTTATATTCCCCTCCCTGTGTCCATGTGTTCTCATTGTTCAACTCCCACTTATGAGTAAGAACATGTGGCATTTGGTTTTCTGATCTTGTGATGGTTTGCTGAGAATGATGATTCCCAGCTTCATTCAGGTCCCTGCAAAGGACATGAACTCATCCTTTTTTATGGCTGCATAGTATTCCATGGTGTATATGTACCACATTTTCTTAATCCAGTCTATCATGAATGGGCATTTGAGTTGGTTCCAACTCTTTGCTATTGTGAATAGTGCGCTAATAAACATACGTGTGCATGTGTCTTTATCTAAGAATGATTTATAATCTTTGGGTGTATACCCAGTAATCGGATTGCTGGATCAAATGGTATTTCTAGTTCTAGATCCTTGAGGAATCGCCAAACTGTCTTCCACAATGGTTGAACTAATTTACACTCCCACCAACAGTGTAAAAGCGTTCCTATTTCTCCACAACCTCTCCAGCATCTGTTGTTTCCTGACTTTTTAATGATCGCCATTCTAACTGGCGTGAGATGGTATCTCATTGCGGTTTTGATTTTTTTGATTTGCATTTCTCTAAGGAAGAGTGATGATGAGCATTTTTTCATATGTCTATCGGCTGCATAAATGTCTTCTTCAGAGAAGTGTCTGTTCATATGCTTTGCCCATTTTTTGATGGGGTTGTTTGCTTTTTTCTTGTAAATTTGTTTAAGTTCTTTGTAGATTCTGAATATTAGCCCTTTGTCAGATGGATAGATTGCAAAAATTTTCTCCCATTCTGTAGGTTGCCTGTTCATTCTGATCATAGTTTCTTTTGCTGTGCAGAAGCTCTTTAGTTTAATTAGATCCCATTTGTCAATTTTGGCTTTTGTTTCCGTTGCTTTTGGTGTTTTAGTCATGAAGTCTTTGCCCATGCCTATGTCCTGAATGGTGTTGCCCAGGTTATCTTCCAGGGTTTTTATGGTTTTATGTCTTTATTCCATCTTGGATTAAAGAGTTATATCTTTAATCCATCTTGTGTTAATTTTTGTATAAGGTGTAAGGAAGGGATCCACTTTCAGCTTTCTAAATATGGCTAGCCAGCTTTTTCAACAACATTTATTGAATAGAATCCTTTCTCCATTGCTTGTTTGTGTCAAGTTTGTCAAAGATCAGATGGTGGTAGATGTGTTCTGAGGCCTCTGTATTGTCCCATTGGTCTATATATCTGTTTTGGTACCAGTACCATGCTGTTTTGGTTACTGTAGCCTTGTAGTGTAGTTTGAAGTCAGGTAGTATGATGCCTCCAGCTTTGTTCTTTTTGCTTAGGATTGTCTAGGCTATGTGGGCTCTTTTCTGGTTCCATATGGATTTTAAAGTAGTTTTTTTGCAATTCTGTGAAGAAAGTCAGTGGTAGCTTGATGGGGATAGCATTGAATCTATAAATTACTTTGGGTAGTAAGGACATTTTCATGATATTGATTCTTCCTATCCATGAGCATGAAATGTTTTTCGATTTGTTTGTGTCCTCTCTAATTTTCTTGGGCAGCGTTTAGTAGTTCTCCTTGAAGAGCTCCTTCACATCCCTTGTAAGTTATATTCCTAGGTATGTTATTCTCTTAATAACAATTGTGAATGCAAGTTCACTCATGATTTGGCTCTCTGTTAGTCTATTATTGGTGTATAGGAATGCTTGTGATTTTTGCACATTGATTTTGTATCCTGAGACATTGCTGAAGTTGCTTATCAGCTTAAGGAGATTTTGGGCTGAGACGATAGGATTTTCTAATTATACAATCATGTCATCTGCAAACAGAGACAATTTGACTTCCTCTCTTCCTATTTGAATATCCTTTATTGCTTTCTCTTGCCTGATTGCCCTAGCTAGAACTTCTGATACTATGTTGAATAGGAGTGGTGAGAGAGGGCATCCTTGTCTTGTGCCAGTTTTCAAAGGGAATGCTTCCAGTTTTTGCCCATTCAATATGATATTGGCTGTGGGTTTGTCATAAGTAGCTCTTATTATTTTGAGATAGGTTCCGTCGATACCTAGTTTATTGAGTTTTTAGCATGAAAGGCTGTTGAATTTTGTTGAATGCCTTTTCTGCATCTTTTGAGATAATCATGTGGTTTTTGTCATTGGTTCTGTTTATGTGATGGATTAAGTTTATTGATTTTTGTGTGTTGAACCAGACTTGCATCCCAGGGATGAAGCTGACTTGATCGTGGTGGATAAGATTTTTGATGTGCTGCTGGATTCAGTTTGCCAGTATTTTATTGAGGATTTTCGCATCGATGTTCATCAGGGATATTGGCCTAAAATTGTCTTTTTTTGTTGTGTCTCTACCAGGCTTTGGTATCAGGATGATGCTGGCCTCATAAAATGAGTTAGGAAGAATTCCCTCTTTTTCTATTGAATGGAATAGTTTCAGAAGGTGATAGCAGCTCTTCTTCATACCTCTAGTAGAATTCAGCTGTGAATCCATCTGGTCCTGGGCTTTATTTAATTGGTGTGCTATTAATTATTGCCTCAATTTCAAACCTGTTATTGGTCTATTCAGAGATTCAACTTCTTCCTGGTTTAGTCTTGGGAGGGTATATGTGTCCAGGAATTTATCCATTTCTCCTAGATTTCCTAGTTTATTTGCATAGAGGTGTTTACAGTATTCGCTGATGGTAGTTTGTATTTCTTTGGGATCAGTGGTGATATCCCCTTTATCATTTTTTATTGTGTCTATTTGATTCTTCTCTCATATCTTCTTTATTAGTCTTGTTAATGGTGTATCTATTTTGTTGATCTTTTCAAAAAACCAGCTCCTGGATTCATTGATTTTTTGAAGGGTTTTTTCTGTCTCTATCTCCTTCAGTTCTGTTCTCATCTTAGTTATTTCTTGTCTTCTGCTAGCTTTTGAATTTGTTTGCTTTTGCGTCTCTAGTTCTTTTAATTGTGATGTCAGGGTGTCGATTTTAGATCTTTCTTGCTTTCCCTTATAAGCATTTAGTGCTATAAATTTCCCTTTACACACTGCTTTAAATGTGTCCCAGAGATTCTGGTACATCGTGTCTTTGTTCTTATCGGTTTCAAAGAACATCTGTATTTCTGCCTTAATTTCATTATTTACCCAGTAGTCATTCATGAGCATTGTTCTGTTTCCATGTAGCTATGCGGTTTTGAGTGAGTTTCTTAATCCTGAGTTCGTATTTCATTGCACTGTGGTCTGAGAGACTGTTTGTTGTGATTTCTGTTCTTTTGCATTTGCTGAGGAGTGCTTTACTTCCAATTATGTGGTCAATTTTAGAATAAGTGCAATGTGGTACTCAGAAGAATATATATTATGTTGAGTTGGGGTGGAGATTTCTGTAGCTGTCTATTAGGTCCGCTTGGTCCAGAGCTGAGTTCAAGTCCTGGATATCCTTGTTCATTTTCTGTCTTGTTGATCTGTCTAATATTGACAGTGGGGTGTGAAAGTCTCCCACTTTTATTGTGAGGGAGCCTAAGTCTCTTTGTAGGTCTCTAAGAACTCGATTTATGAATCTGGGTGCTCCTGTATTGGTTGGATTTATATTTAGGATGGTTAGCTCTTCTTGTTGCATTATCCCTTTACCATTATTTAGTGGCCTTGTCTCCTTTGATCTTTGTTGGTTTAAAGTCTGTTTTATCAGAGACTAGGATTGCAACCCCTGCTTTCTTTTTGCTTTCCATTTGCTTGGTAAATCTTCCTCCATCCCTTTATTTTCAACCTATGTGTGTCTTTGCACATGAGGTGGGTCTCCTGAATACAGCACACCAATGGGTCTTGACTCTTTGTCCAATTTGCCAGTCTGTGTCTTTTAATTAGGGCATTTAGCCCATTTACATTTAAGGTTAATATTGTTATGTGTGAATTTGATCCTGTCATTATGATGCTAGCTGGTTATTTTGCTCACTAATTGATGCAGTTTCTTCATAGTGTCAATGGTCTTTATAATTTGGCATGTTTTTGCAGTGGCTGGTACCAGTTTTTCCTCTCCATGTTTAGTGCTTCCTTCAGGAGCTCTTGTAAGGCAGGCCTGGTGGTGATAAAATCTCTCAGCATTTGCTTGTCTCTAAAGGATTTTATTTCTCCATCACTTATGAAGCTTAGTTTGGCTGGATATGAAATTCTGGGTTGAAAATTCTTTTCTTTAAGAATGTTGAATATTGTCCCCCACTCTCTTCTGGCTCTTAGGGTTTCTGCAGAGAGATCCGCTGTTAGTCTGATGGGCTTCTTTTTTTGGGTAACTGGACCTTCCTCTCTAGCTGCCCTTAACATTTTTTCCTTCATTTCAACCTTGGTGAATCTGACAATTGTGTCTTGGGGTTGCTCTTCTCGAGGAGTATCGTTGTGGTGTTCTCTGTATTTCGTGAAGTTGAATTTTGGCCTGCCTTGCTAGGTTGGGGGAGTTCTCCTGGGCAATATCCTGAAGTGTGTTTCCTAACTTGGTTCCATTCTCCCTGTCACTTTCAGGTACACCAATCAAATGTAGATTTGGTCTTTTTACATAGTCCCATGTTTCCTGGAGGCTTTGTTCATTTCTTTTCACTCTTTTTTCTCCAATCTTATCTTCTCACTTTATTTCATTAATTTGATCTTCAGTCACTGATATGCTTTCTTCTGCTTGTTTGAATTGGCTATTGAAGCTTGTGTATGCTTCACCAAGTTCTCTTACTGTGGTTTTCAGCTCCTTCAGGTCATTTAAGCTCTTTCTACACTGGTTATTCTAGTTAGCCATTCATCTAACCTTTTTTTCAAGGTTTTTAGCTTCCTTGCAATGGGTTAGAACATGCTCCTTTAGCTCGGAGAAGTTTGTTCCTACTTACCTTCTGAAGCCTACTTCTGTCAACTAGTCAAACTCATTCTCCATCCAGTTTTGTTCCTTTGCTGGCAAGCAGTTGTGTTTCTTTGAGGAGAAGAGGTGTTCTGGTTTTTGGAATTTTCGGCCTTTCTTCTCTGGTTTCTCCCCATCTTTGTGGTTTTTATCTACCTTTGGTCTTTGATGTTGGTGATCTACGAATGGGGTTTTGGTGTGGATGTCCTTTTTGTTAATGTTGATGCTATTCCTTTCTGTTTGTTAGTTTTCCTTCTGACAGACTGGCCCCTCAGCTGCAGGTCTGTTGGGAGTTTTCTGTAGGTCCACTGCAGACACTGTTTGCCTGGGTATCACCAGCAGAGGCTGCAGAACAGCAAATATTGCTGCCTGATCCTTCCTCTGGAAGCTTTGTCCCAGAGGGGCACCTGTCTGTATGAGGTGTCAGTTGGCCCCTACTGGGAGGTGTCTCCCAGTCAGGCTACATGGGTGTCAGGGACCCACTTGAGGAAGCAGTCTGTCTGTTATTGCAGCTTGAACGCCATGCTGGGAGAACTGCTTCTCTCTTCAGAGCTGTCAGGCAGGGACATTTAAATCTGGAGAAACTGTCTGCTGCCTTTTGTTCAGATATGCCCTGCCCCCAGAGGTGACATCTAGAGAGGCAGTAGGCCTTGCTGAGCTGCAGTGGCCTCTGCCCAGTTTGAGCTTCCCTGCTGCTTTGTTTACACTCTGAGCATAGAACCAGCTACTCAAGCCTCAGCAATGGTGGACGCCCCTCACCCCACCAAACTTCAGCATCCCAGGTTGATCTCAGACTGTTGCGCTAGCAGTGAGCAAGGCTCCGTGGGCTTGGGACCCGCCGAGCCAGGCACAGGAGGGAATCTTCTGGTCTGCTGGTTGTGAAGACCATGGGAAAAGTGCAGTATTTGGACAGGAGTGTACTGCTTCTCTAGATACAGTCACTCATGGCTTCCCTTGGCTAGGAAAGGGAAATCCCCTGATCCCTTGCACTTCCTGGGTGAGGTGATGCCCTGCCCTGCTTCAGCTTGCCCCCTGTGGGCTGCACCCACTGTCCAACCAGTCCCAATGAGATGAACCAGGTACCTCAGTTGGAAATGCAGAAATCACCCATCTTCTATGTCAATCTCACTGGCAGCTGTAGACCAGAGCTGTTCCTATTTGATGATCTTGGAAGTGACTCCGTAAAAATTTATTTCATTAATGGATACCATAAAAAGGGTGAAGAATAAAGGTGCAAACCAGAAGAAGTTATTTGCAAAAGATAAGACTCTTCAAGAACTTTCATCATACCACAGACTGGGAGAAAATATTTGCAAACTAATCTGGTAAGGGATTAGTAGTAACTCGAATATACAAGGATAAGAAACAACTCTATAGCAAAAAAATACATAATAATCTGATCAAAAATAGGTGAAATATTTGAATAGACATTTCTCCAAAGAAGACATAGCAGTGGAAAACAGGCATATGAAAAGGTGCTCAACATCATTTATCATCACAGATATGCAAATCAAAACTGCAGTGAGATATCATCTCACCCCAGTTAAAATGGTTTATATCAAAAAGACAGGCAATAACAAACCCTCAAACACTGATGATGGAAATGTAAATTCATACAACCACTATGAAGAACAGTTTGGAGGCTCCCCCCTGCAAAAGAAAAAAAGAAAAAACAGAGCTACCAGAGGATCCAGGGATGTTTCTGCTAGGTGTATTCCCAAAAGAAAAAAAATCAGTATATCAAAGAGGTGTCTGCACTCCTGTTTATTGTAAAACTATTCACAATAGTGAAGATTTGAAAGTGACCCAGGTGTCAATCAACAGATGAATGGATAACGAAAATGTGGTACATATTCAAGATTTGAAAGTGACCCAGGTGTCAATCAACAGATGAATGGATAACGAAAATGTGGTACATATTCACAATGGAGTACTATTCTACCACAAAAATAATGATACCCGGTTATTTGGAACAATATGGATTAACTGGAGGTCATTATATTAAGGGAAAGAAGCCAGGCACAGAAAGACAAACATCACATGTTCTCACTTATTTCTGGGCTCTAAATTCAAAACAATTGAACTCATAGAGAGCAGAAGAATGGTTGCTGGAGGCTACAAAGGGTAGTAGGTGCTAGAAGGGTAAGTGGGGATGGTTAATGAGTACAAAAAATTAGAAGAATGAATAAGACCTATTATTTGATAGCACAACAGGGTGATTATAGTAAATAATAACTGTATATTTTAAAATAACTAAAAGGGTGTAACTGGATTGTTTGTGTATTAGTTGCGTATTAGCGTGCTGCTATAAAGAACTGTCCAAAACTGGGTAATTTATAAAGAAAAGAGATATAATTGACTTAGCTGGGGAGGCCTCAGGAAACTTACAATCATAGTGGAAAGGGAAAAATACATCCTTCTTCACATGGTGGCAGGAAAGAGAAGTGCCACGCAAAGTGTCAGGAAAAGCCCCTTATAACAACATCAGATCTCATGAGAACTCATTCACTGTCATGAGAACAGCATGGGGGAAACCACCCCCATGATTCAATTACTTCCACCTGGTCCTGCCCTTGACACATAGGAGTTATTACATTTCAGGTGAGATTTGGGTGGAGACACAGAGCCAAACCATATCAGTTAGTAACACAAAAGATAAATGTTTGAGGAGATGGATACCCCATTCTCCAAACTACAATTATTTCACATTGGATGGCTATATCAAAAAATTGCATGTGCCCTATATATTGAGGTACCTACTATGTGCCCACAAAATTGAAAGTAACAAAAAAATTTTAAAAACAGAATCACCATCCAAAATATACTTTAAAATCCCACAAATTGATAAGAGTCATACGCATAATCCAAAAATAAGATAGTCAAATTAAAAGATCAGGCACTTTTCAGAAAAATAAATTGGATAATACACAGATATGATGATGATCAAACTTCTTATTAACTAGGAAATACAAAATCAAGTCATAATGAAATCATGTCAAATAATGAGTTAATGAGCTGAAAATTGAAATCAACCCAAAATTTCTGCAAGAATATAGAGAAGAGGAAATTTTATGCACACCTGGCATGGGCAAGATATTAACTGCTGCAGATGCCAGGAAATACAAGTTGCCAGTGCCAGGCAAAGTTGATTACATGCACATCATAGATTAGCTCTTCCAGTTCTAGATAACTTATGAAATGCCTGAACATCGACACGTGCACCAGAATATAAACATAAAATTGTCCATTGCAGTATTTTTTTTTTTTTTTGAGGCAGAGTCTGGTTGTGTCCCCAGGCTGGAGTGCAATGGTGCGATCTTGGCTCACTGCAAGTTCGGCCTCCTGGGTTCATGCCATCCTCCTGCCTCAGCCTCCTGAGTAGCTGGGACTACAGGTGCCAGCCACCATGCCTGACTGATTTTTTGTATTTTTTTTTAGTAGAGAAGGGGTTTCACTGTGTTAGCCGGGATGGCCTTGATCTCCTGACCTCGTGATCCACCCACCTCGGCCTCCCAAATTGCAGTATATTTTTTAAAAGGAGGAAACAACCAAACATTTCATCAATCAGAAGACTATGGAAACGCTTGTTGTTAAAGTCATACATTGGAATATCTTACGGAAGGAAAAGAAAACAAATACAGCTACCCCATCCACAAGGATGACTCTCAGGAGCATAATATTCAGCATAAATCAAATAGTGAACGAAAAAGGATCTTACCAGAACTCCAAACTAGTACAGCTGCCATCTCTCTCCATCTCCATCAAGATTGTTCTCTGAGGAACTGCAGTTAAGAAAAAATAAAGAAAGAAAATGTGAGAAAACCCTGGAGTAATACAGTCAGAGATTATTTTGAACAGCTGTGTAAGGGGAAGATAAGATATGTGAATTTTGTTTCTCTTTCTGATGTTGTTACTGTTGTTCCTCCTTTATTCTTCCTAGCCTTTGACATTGCCCTGAAAAAGACAGTGTGTGTGCCATTCTGTAAATTACGCATGGTTCAGGTTCACTAAGGACAGTTATCAGAAACCAAGAAAACAAGTGGAGATTTAGTTACCAAAGGCAGTCACTTACTTATCCTGACTGTCTAAACTTCCAGGGATGGTTAATTACAATCTAAGAAATGTCTCTTCATTCAAAATCTCCCTGGCTAGTTAGTTTAGTCAGATAAGGAATGCTTAACTTTAGTATTTTTATGAGGTCCAAAGGCTTATTATTATAGATCTTTTCATGCAGTTTATCCATCATGCACTTTATGGGATGACACAAAGGTCAAACATTACCTGATAAACGTGGCTGGCAAAAGCTGACACTCCACTGGAAGAAAATGAGTTCACAGACCAAAATATGTGATATTTATGAAGAGGAGACACCTCAAAAAGGACAAAAATAAATACAGTGGATGTTAAAATCACAGACCATAATGTAAAATTAGCATAATAAAACTTAAAATTAAAAGGAGACTTCCTAGTCTGTGTTGGATTGAGTTGTTTGCAATAGATCTAAGCAGTTATAAAAGCCAGAAAATACGAAACCATTTTCAATGGCATTGAAGAACTACAGAAGCAATGGGGACCATAGAGACCTAGAAAACAGAAATAAAATAGATAATGTTTTGCACCTACTTTTATTGGGGCGGCATTTGCAGATTTGTGACACAGAGGGGCCCCTTTTGCTCAGGGTTGCTGCTGGATAAAGAGAAACAAACAGTTTTGTGTAGTTGCTTAGCACAGAGAAAACAAGATCAAAAACTTAATGGGCCTTTACTACATGGTTTCCATGTAGTTAAATTTGCAAAATGATATTCATCCAATTTGTGAAATCCTGAAGCCACATATAACAAATGGTTAATAAAGCTATGTTAAAGACATCTATAAATGAGAATGAGTGTTATTGTTAGTATTCCAGGGCTGAGGAATACATATTACAGTTCCCTACCAAGGGAAGAGGACCTCTTGAAAGACCAAGATCTCACTTGAAAGCCATGGGGTATTCTTCCCTCTAAACAAGTTTGAGCCAGAGGGAGACTAACCTTTAATGAAACTTCAATCCAGTCTCAAATCAGCTCAGTCCATAATAGTATTAAGGGCATCAGCCTCCACTGCTTCTTGGAGACAAGTCGGCTATTGACACAGAAAATAACTAAAAGGCTTAAAAATTATTGGAGAATATATAAATGGACAGGAACTTATACATTGCTGATGGAGAAGTAAATTGGTTAAATCAGTTTTATTATTTCCTGCAATCAACCATTCACATAACCCATAGCACAGCAATTCCACTCCTAGGAATATGTTCAAGGGAAACTCTTACACAGGACAATGGGAGACTTGTACAAGAAGGTCAGAAATAATGTTAACAATAACAGAGGCCTAGAATGTTACTGAAACACCAGGGGTTTGGTCTAGGTTTAACTGCTCACTGCACAGAAAGCCAATCAGTGAGACGACGAGTATTGCCAAGGAAGAGGGCTTTAAGTTCTGCAGCTGAGGAGATGGGTTGTGAATTTTCAATTTATTTTCCTTTCTTGTTTCTCCTGAATGCCTCCAGCTTTTGCCCATTCAGTATATTGGCTGTGTGTTTGTGGCAGTTTTTGTTATTTTGAGATATGATTAATCAATACCTAGTTTATTGAGAGATTTTAACATGAAGGGATGTTGAATTTTATTGAAGGGTTTTTCTGCATCTGTTGAAATAATCATGTGTTTTTTTTTCATTGACTCTGTTTATGTGATGGATTATGTTTATTGATATGTGTATGTTGAACCAGCCTTGCATCCCAGGGATGAAGCCAACTTGATTGTGGTGGATAAGCTTGCTGATGTGCTGCTGGATTCATTTTGCCAGTGTTTTATTCAGGATTTTCACATCAATGATCATCAAGGATTTTGGCCTGAAGTTTTCTTTTTTTGTTGTGTCTCTGCCAGGTTTCGGTATGAGGATGATTTTGGCCTCATAAAATGAGTTAGGAGGGAGTCTCTCCTTTTAAATTGTTTGGAATTGTTTCAGAAGGAATGGTACCAGCTCCTCTTTGTAACTCTAGCGGCATTCAGCTGTGAATCCATCTGCTTCTGGACTTTTTTTGGTTGGTAGGCTATTAATTACGCCTCGATTTTAGAACTTGTTATTGGTATTCAGAGAGTCGACTTCTTTCTGATTTAGTCTCGAAAGGGTGTATGTGTCCAGGAATTTATCCATTTCTTCTAAATTTTCTAGTTTATTTGAGTAGAGGTGTTTATAGTATTCTCTGACAGCAGTTTGTATTTCTGTGGGGTCATTCATGATACCCCTTTAACATTTTTGTATTATGTCTATTTGATTATTCTCTCTTTTCTTCTTTATTAGTCTAGCTAGCAGTCTATCTATTTTGTTAATTTTTTCAAAAAACCAGCTCCTGGATTTACTGATATTTTGGAGGGCTTTCATATGTCCTTCAGGCCTCCTCTGATCTTAGTTATTTCTTGTCCTCTGCTAGCTTTGGGATTTGTTTGTCTTTGGTTCTCTAGCTCTTTTAATTGTGATGTTACGGTGTTGATTTGAGATCTTTCTAGCTTTCTGATATGGACATTTAGCCAGGATTTTAAATGAATCCTGAGTCCCCTGGGTTTATTATTTGTCTGAAACTAAAGTTTACAGCTCAGTTGACACTTTTTGAAAGATCAATGTTGTTGAATATCTTATAAGCTAGAATCCAGGTTCAAAATTATTTTATTTGTGTTACTCTAGGATATAAGTATATTATTTATTGCTTAATCTGTTCTGAAGATCTAATCCAAAAAAACTGTACAAACTTTTTGGTAAAACTGGAGTCAATATTTTTCCTAACACTTGAGAAAGAAATTTAAAATTCAATATTCTTAATGAGGAAAAATATAATCATTAGACAGCAGCCATCACGTGAAATCTTGTCAATTTATGAAAATTTATGTGTAAATATTTTGTAGTTGCCAGGGTTGGGGAAAAAATTCTACCTTTGTAATAAAGTATATACAGTGTTTGCAGAAAATTTTTGGGTTTCCTGCATAGCCACACAAGTTTTGGTGGTGTTGTTTTCTTTGACTTTATGTTAATTTTAAGAAAGTTCATGTAAGAAAATAGACATACCTAAAGTAAGTTTGGCTACAAAAATGCTTTGCTAGAAGAAATAAGAAAAAAAGAAAAAGAAAAAAATGAAAGAAAGATATGTAGATTATTTGCAGTTGTAGAAAATTGTTCTTTTTTGCATTATTTATATCAGTATAATTGCATAAAACACGCTAATGTATGTAAACTAATAGAAAGTCACATACTTTTATAACTTTCTTTAGTTTCAGAAACTGAATCTTTAAAGAAATAATAAAATACGTTTTCTCTAATACAATAACAATCATTGCGTGCATACAACAAATAGGATACTAGTAAAAATAATGGTTGCTAGATATATTTCAAAGACCCACAGTAAAGATAAAGTTTATTAGTCAAGTGACAAAGAGAAAGAATACAATATAAAGACAAACTTTTGAAGAATGAGGATTTTAGAATAAATAGAAAAAAAAATTTATTCAGTAAAGCTTTATTAAACTTGTCAATGTAAACAGTGGAATTTGAAACACCTACTTTAACTCTTAACTAAATATATTTTAATATTTTAACAAAATATTTAAATAGTCCTGAAGCGATTGATTCAAAGCCACCGATTTCCTACATTTTGCATTTCAAAGTAATAAGGTTTCATTCTATGATACTAATAATGGCAGCAACAACAAACACAATCTTTGAAATATAACAAAATGGGTGCAGAAAATGTCCAATTAAAAATCGCAAATAAAAATTGTGTCCTAGAATATAAACTAATGGACAATTCAGTGAATATAACTGAAAGCAGCATGCCAGAGAATAAACTACATTTTCATAATCTTTGATCATGTTTTTCAATATAGTTTGTTACCTATTCACACATCAATTATTTTTCCTTTTTCAAGTGACACATTCAGCATAACCTGAAAGATTAATTATATTTAATGTCTCTGTTGTCATCTTGAAAAATTGTTCATTTAAACGAGGTTTAGTGAATAGTCCTCAAAAGCTTATACCCAAAAAGTTCCTCTATACTATGCATGGAAGGAATCTGCTTTGCTTTTGTTTGTGGTTTCTATTTTTGCTGAAAAATATATTTGAACCGATAGCAGGAATGTAGCTAATAAAAGTTGTAGACTTACATGATTAATGGCTGAGGAATAAAATATTTCAACATCAGGGACCAATTAAAGCATGGGGAAGCCCTAATGGATTTTTATCCTTTTAAAAAATGTAATTTTATTGTTTGTAGTTAAGTTGTACCACATGATGTTTGGTTATACACATACATAGTAAAGAAATCACTGCTCTCAAGCAAATTAGCATATTCATCACCTCCGTAGGTGCTTGTGTGTGTGTATGTGTGCGCACGCCTGGGTAAGAGCTTCCAAAATCCACATTTACATCAAACTTCCTGTATACAATATTATTGACTATAATTCTCATGGTACACATTAGATTTCTATATTCATCCAAACTGCATCAATGTAAGTTTATACCACTTAGCCTACTCCATTTCTTCCCCCTCCTTATCTGTGATAACCAGTGTTGTACTTTCTATTTCTATGTTTTCAACTTCTTTTTTTTTGTTTATTTAAGATTTCACATATAAGTGACATTATGAAGTATTATTCTTTCTGTTTCAGATGTATTACATTTAGTATAATGTCCTCCAGTTTCTTCCACATTGTCACAAGAACAGTATTTTATTCTCGATTAAGGCTGAATAATATTTCACTTTTATATATATTACAACTTTTTATCCGTAAATTCACCAATGAAACCTTAAGTTGTTTTCATATCTTGACTATTTTGAATAACACTGCAATGAACATGGGAATGCAGTTACTTCTATGAGGTGCTGATTTAATTTTCTTTCAGTATACACTGAGAAAATGGATTTCTGGGTCATATGATGGTTCTGTTTGTAATTTTTTGAGGAATTTTCATACTGCTTTTCACAATGGCTGTACCAATTTTATTCCCACCAATGGTGTGCAAGGATTCCTTTTCCTCCACATCCTTACCAGAACTTGTTATTTCTTATCTTTTCCATAATAGCTGACCTAGGCCAGGCGCCATGGCTCATTCATGTAATCCCAGCACTTTGGGAGGCTCACTTAAACCCAGGGGTTTAAGACCAGACTGGGCAGCAAGGCGACACCCCATCTGTATTAGTCAGGGTTATCTATAGGGACAGAACTAATAGGATAGATGAATATATGAAGAGGAGTTTATTAGGAGAATTGACTCACATGATCACAAGGTGAAGTCCCACAATAGACCATCTGGAAGCTGGGAGCAAAGAAGCCAGTCAGAGTCCCAAAATCTCAAAAGTAGGGAAGCCAACGGTGCATCCTTCAACCTGTGCTTGAATGCTTGAGAGTCCCTGGCAAACCATTGGTGTAGGCCCAAAAGTAAAAAAAGCTAAAAAACGTGGAGTCCAATGTTGAAGGGCAGGAAGCATCCAGCATGGAAGAAAGATGGAGACCAGAAGGCTCAGCAAGATCCTCTGCCTGCTTTTATCCTAACCACCCTGGCAGTTGATTGGATGATGCCCACCCAGATTAAGGGTGGGTCTGCCTCTCCCAGTCCACTGACTCAAATGTTGATCTCCTTTGGCAACACTTTCACAGACACACCCAGAAACAATACTTTGCATTCGTCAATCCAATCAAGTTGACACTCAATATTAACCATCACACCATCTCTACAAAAAATTCAAAAATTAGCCAGGCATGGTGGTGTGCAACTGTAGTGCTAGCTACTCAGAAGTCTGAGGTGGAAGGATCACTTGAACCTGGGAGGCAGAATTTGCAGAGCCAAGATTGCATCACTGCACTTCAGCCTGGGCAACAGAGCAAGACTGTGTCATAATAATAATAATAATAATATCTCACCTAACAGGTGTAAGATGATATATCATTGTGATTTTGGTTTTCATTTTGCTGATGATTACTGATATTAAGCACCTTTCATATACCTGTTGGTCATTTGCATGTCTTCTTTGGAAAAAAATATTCTAATCACTTCCTTTTTCCATTTTGTAATAGGATGATTCTTTTCTGCTGTGAGTTGGATGAGTTTCTTATATCTTTTACATATTAACCCCTTATCATATATATGGCCTCACCGCTTCTATTCAACATAGTACTAGCAAGAGCAATCAGACAAGAAAAAAAAATAACATTCAAATTGAAAAGAAAAAATTTAAATTTATTTCTGTTTGCAGATGACATAATCTTATATGAAGGAAACCTCAACAATTTCAGACAAAACTGCTAGTACCAATAAATTAATTCAATAGAGGCACACGATAGAGGATCAACATATAAAATCAGTCACATTTATTTGCCAATCAAGATTTATTAAAAAAATAAAGAAAACAATTCAATTTACAATAGCATCAAAGTCAAATACCCAAGAATAAATTTAACCAAGAAAGTAAAAGATATGTACACTTAAAACATTGAAAGAAATTGAAGAACACAGAAACAAATAGAAAGATATCCTGTGTTGTGAATTTGAAGAGTTAATGTTGTTAATATGTCCATTTTTATGCAAAGTAATCTACAAATTCAATGAAATCCCTATCAAAATTCCAATGACATTTTTTACAAAAATTAAAAATAAAACCAATTCTAAAATGTATATGGAACCACAAAACATCTGCTATAGCCAAAACGATCTTGAGAAAGAAAAACAAAGTTCGTTGCATCACAATTTCTGATGTAAAATTGTATTGCAAAGCTGTAGTCATCAAAATAGTGTGGTACTGGCATTAAAACACATATACGGCCCAATGGAACAGAATAGATAGCCCGGAAATAAATAAAAAAATATACAGACAGCTGATTTCTAACAAGACCACCAAGAAGACACACATAGAAAGGATACTCTGTCTAACAAATAGTATTGGGAAAACAAGATAGTCACATGTAAAAGAATGAAACTGGATCCTTGCTTCACACTATACACAAAAATCAACTCAAAATGGATTGAAGACCTAAACCTAAGATATGAAACCACAAAACTCCTAGAAGAATACATAGAAATAAAGTCCATTGATATTGGCCTTGACAATGGTTGTTTTGTATATCACACCAAAAATTCAAGCAACGTAGGCAAAAATAAACGAATGGGACTGTCAAACTAATAAAGACCTTCTGCACAACAAAGGAAACAGTCAACAAAATGAAAGGCAGCCTGCAGACGGGAGAACATATCTGAAAACCATATATCTGATAAGAAGTTAATATCCTAATGGATATTTGTCTTTTAGTTCACTATTTTGAATTTTATGCAGTTCCAATGTCTTCGTAAGATATTACCATCTAATGACTAAAAAATACATGAGACTGGCCATACCCTAACGTTAAGCAATGGCAAAGTATGTCAAATAGCATGAGTAGTCCCAAATTTTTGGTATTCACGCGCATTTGACATATCTGTGAACATGACGTATGGAGAACCTCATTACATGTAATCATAGAATGATGAAGAGAGAGACATATTACTTCTAAATTACAATTTAAAAAGTTACATTTAGACATAAGGTAACAGAACATAAGTGAGTTAGTAACAGAAATAACTAGAACTGAAATTCTAAAAACCCTGTGGGGAACACTAAACAACTGGGGTTTCCTAAGTCTTAAGCTGAAGAGTAAAAGAAACATACGTCTTTCATGCCATCCAAATGCTTCCTCTCATGCCATAATATATGGTGAAAATAAACAAATGTATCCATACCTATTCAAATAAACATATACGGGATTAACAGAGACTTAGAAACATATTTTTATTTGCTTGCTTATTTATTTATTTATTTATTTATTTATTTATTTATTTATTTATTTTGAGACAGAGTTGTGCTATTTTTGCCCAGGCTGGAGTGCAATGGTGCAATCTCAGCTCACTGCAAGCTTCGCCTACCGGGTTCAAGGGATTCTTCTGCCTCGGCCTCCAGAGTAGTTGGGATTACAGGCGTGTACCACCATGCCCAGCTAATTTTTTTTTTTTTTTAGTAGGGACCACGTTTCACCATGTTGGTCAGGTTGGTCTCAAACTCCTGACCTCGGGTGATCCACCTGCCTCAGCCTCCCAAAGTGCTGGGGTTACAGGTGTGAGCCACTGCGCCCAGCTGAAACATGTTTTTAGACCAGATAAAATTAATTATTTATCAGTGATATGTCCAACTAAATTCACAAGATATTTTTGAACACTTAAAATACACTGAGATAAATAGAATATTAATAGAATAAGTATTAGGATACTAATTAGAATACTAATAGAATACTTACTGAGTCTGTAAGTATTTGAGTCTATAAGAATACTAATAGAATACTTATTGAGTCTATAAGACTCAAACCTCAGGAATCAAAAGGGTCATATATTAAATAAAAAAATAAAACAACCCCATGAAAAATAGTTAATTCTGTTCATACATTTTGTAATACACTAAGGACATTTTTAAGAAATAGTCCTGATTTATTAGCAGATTGGCAGATCAGGAGCTAGAAGAAGGTCTGTATCTTCTCAATTACAAAGCAAATGATAGCTTGCTAATTATGTGTCTTATCTATGGCTTCTTCAATCATGATTAAAAGTTCTAGGCTGGGCACAGTGGCTCACGCCTGTAATCCCAGCACTTTGGGAGGCCGAGGCGGGTGGATCACAAGGTCAGGAGATCGAGACCATCCTGGCTAACATGGTGAAACCCCGTCTCTACTAAAAATAGAAAATAAATAAATAAATAAATAAATAAATTAGCTGGGCGTGGTGGCAGGCGCCTTGTAGTCCCAGCTACTTGGGAGGCTGAGGCAGGAGAATGGCGTGAACCCGGGAGAGGGAGCTTGCAGTGAGTGGAGACCACACCACTGTACTCCAACCTCGGCGACAGAGCAAGACTGTCTAAAAAAAAAAAAAAAAAAAAAAAAGTTATTTAGTCCAGAGCTCAAAGTTTCTCATGGAATATTATTGCTCCAGCACAAGTAAGCAGCCAAAGTGGGAAAAATACATTCAAGCCTATTCTAAAGAAAAAGGATGGGCTATATATACATTAACACAGCCGCAGCCAATTTTAATCATGCCTCAAGACTGAACGAAATGGAAAGCCATGAACCTTTCATTACAGTGTCTAATTTTTGCTCTTGTTATTTTTGTTGCTATTGTTTTCAATCCAGAATCAGATTAGTTCTCACTACTAATTTCCTAAGGAAAAAATTATCTTCATTGTACCAATACATTTAATGTCAAGAATTTTACTAAGGAATATATATTTTTAGAAAATAAGTGCCATTTTGTTTGAATTCAAGTTTCTGATGAGCTTCAAGCAAATGAAAGAACATGGACCTTAGACACTTTTTCCTAGTGCATCATTTCCTAAGTGAAAGTTTCACATTTGACCTGATGATCACCTCATAAGGGACTATTAGCAAGTGGGTCACATGGAAAGAGATAGGAAAAAATGGAAATAGGGTTTACAGTATCCAGTCACATGTTATACTGGTTAGAGACTAATTTTGGAACCTTGAAATTGTCAACCTGAAAAGGCTAGAAAACATATATGTACCTATGTGTATCTGTCTTCAGTTTTATAATCTTTTATTCAGTAGTTTAATAAAAAGTTCACAAAGCTTTTAGAAGTTGAGCTCATCTGACATTCTTACATTATATATATGTTTTAAATTTATTCATGCATGTAGCTGTGCTGTGTGTATTTTGAGTATCATGTGAATGACTGTATGCGTGTATGTGTGGTATTATATAGATATGCATTTGTTATGTGTGTTTCCTTAATTCAAGAGACATTACGTTTAGTCACACAAGTATATTCTGAGAACTTCCAATTACATTATACATCATCACTTGTCTTCTCTATGATACATGCAGAGTGATAGTCTCAAGAAAGCAAATCTCATATTTTCTCACCAAACTCATTGTTGAAAAATTATTCTGTGGCTTCTACAATTTAGTAAGGATGACTTACAAGGCCCTTCATGATCCTTACTTAGGTTATTAGTTCTATTTCAACACCATTTTCTCCCTCTTCCTTTGTTGAGTGAGTCAGTCAAGCCCTTTTTCTTCAAGAGCAAGTAAAAGGATGTTTTGAGATTAACTTGAGAGATGGGAAGGAGTCAGGTCAAGTATGTGTGACCAGTTCTTTTGGTCCAGTTAACTTCTGTCCATCTGCATTATCCTACTCATGTTTATGCTCTAGACCTTGCTCAAGTGTTACTTCAGAAATGTCTGCCTCTAGACACAGTCTTGTTCAGATTATTTTGTTAAATTTTTCATTCCTTCCCAGCTCATTTCTCAATTTTAAATTCTACATTCTCTTATGAGATTATTTATTTATGTGTTTGTTCCCTAATAAACTATAGTGTGAATTCACTGAAAGGAGAAAGCTCACATCATTTTGCTCACCATTAAATACTCAGGAATGTTTTTGGACACAAAATAAGTACCAAAAAACTATTTATTTTGTTAGAATAGCACATACTTTTTTTTTTTTCTGAGGTGGAGTCTCCCTCTGTCACTCAGGTTGGGCTGGAGTGCAATGGCATGATCTTAGCTCATGGCAACCTCTGCCTCCTGGGTTCAAGCTATTCTCATGCCTCAGCCTCCCAAGTAACTGGGATTACAGGTGCATGTCACCATGCCCGGCTAGTTCTTTTGTATTTTTAGTAAAATCAGGGTTTCAGGCTGGTCTCAAACTCCTGTTGTTGGTCAGGCTGGTCTCAAACTCCTGACCTCATGTGATCTGCCTGCCTCGGCCTCCAAAAGTGCTGGGATTACAGGCATGAGCCACCACACCTGGCCTTGAATAGCATATAATATTGCTTCCTCTATTATCCAGACTTCATTATTTTATCCTTTTTATGCATATACAAGCTTTCTTAATCTGGATGATAGATGAGTTGATCAAGCAATGTTGTTAACTGATTTAGCAAACAAATAGCATTCATAAGCATTAATATCTGTCTGAATATTATTAAAATGTTTAATGAAATGAAATTTTGGTGGTGATTATTTTATACTCAACTTTTCCTAAGTAATAAGGATATTCTTTCATGTATTTAATAGCTTTATGTTGTCTCAGATATGCATGAAAGAAAAAATCATCTTGAAACAGACAATAAATGTGATCTTTTTATTCAGGATGGCCTTTAAATTATTTTCCAACTCTGAGATTTCATGAATCTACAATCACCTAAGGTTCATGATGTGCTCTTCCTTAATTCCTTGACTGTCTTATGATTTGAATTTTCCCTGAAACTTGAACGTCATCTTCTTTCAAAACTTGATTCAACATCCACTGGAAAACTCTAGGCTGATGCCAAGACCTATTAACCAGAGTAGGAATCAGCTGAGTCAAGTTAAGCAATGTGAAGTATTCGAGATTAAGTTCTCTCCTCTTCTGACAGTTTATCCAAATATCTTGTTAAAGAATTATTTAAGCTGGTGATGCTTTTTAAAATATGTAGTATCACTACACCTTCTGAGGGCTATCTTTGTGTCATCTCAACTATTGGAAGTTGATGTTGAGAGTGCAGGAGGAAGCCAAATGCCTAGGCAGATAGGGCTGGGTCCCTGGTGAAACCCTACCTCCAAACTGAAGGCAGGTTACAGCCTGAAAGCCAAGCTACAAGTTAAAACCTTGGACCGGATTGAGAACTTGTCTTCCTGTTTGGCACACTTTCCTCTGATTGGTCTCCACCCTTCTCCTATTTTACATATACCTACCCTTTCCTAATTAATTTTTCTACACTGTTGTGCCCACCTTTGAGTGATGTTGGGAGAAAAGCTGAGTGTTGGGAGAGAAGCTGAGGCAGGGCTTGCCTGTCTGACATAATGTAAAAGAGTCTTGGAACAAGTCCTGGGTCCAGGGTCTAAAACCTCTCGTGGCCTTTGGAACACCAAGCTCTATGCTAAAGGGTGGAAGGCTACCCTGACACACCATAATCTAAGCCCAGGGCACAAAACCCCTTGTGGCTTGGATAGAATCCAGGGCTCAAGGCATAAAACCCCTCATGGCTCTGGAATGTGTCTAGACTTGCTGGCTCCTTGCTCCTTGCTCTCCCAGGATTGATTGTATCTTGAGTTAAAAGAACCTGCCCTCCATTATCTCAAGTAGCAGACCATATGCTAAACCGTCACAGCTGTAAATCATGTGCTTAATGCAACGCTCCGTTTCGACCCCCACATTCTCACCAACTGTTTGTTTGTTCACCATTAAATAGTCTGGACTTCCAGAGCTCAGGGCTTTTGCAGCCTCCATACTTGCATTGGCCCCCTGGATCCACTTTCTCTCTCAAACTGTCTTTTCTCATTCCTTTGACTCCGCTGGACTTCATTGCCCCCATGACCTGGTGTTGAGTCTGATCACCCCAACAAGTGGTGTCTTTGCTTTAACTATTTTTTGCATACTCACAAACCAATCAGCATGCACTCCCCATTCTGAGTCCATAAAAGATCCTGCACTCAGGTGAGCTGGGTCACGCCAGTGTGGCCAAGTGGGACCCTGGTGGGGTGTCACTGGCTGGGGCTCCCCAGCCTGCAAAGTGACTGAGAAGAAAAATCCTACATCAATGTAGTTTCTGTGTGTGAATGACCACAGAATTTCATATGCAGAATTTTCTAGCAGATACAGAAGCATGAAGGGGTATTCACAAGCAGATTTGGATTTTTAAATGACAATCTTTTGATATTCTGTGTCTTGTGAGACATTGCTGGCATACTTTGTTTTTTAGTCTTTAGACTTGGTTTCCTTTGGTTTTTGTAAACATGTTTATAATAGCTGTTTTGTAGTCTTTTTTTCTGAGAAGTTCAACATCTGGCCCCCCAGGATGTTTGTTCTGGCTAAATTTTTTAGTATGTGACTTACTTTTTGGTTTCTTTGCAGGTTTTGTGATTTTTTATTAAAATGTGGCACTTTAATTGATATATTGTAACAATGCTGATATTAGGGATCCCCACCCTCCCACTGCCTGGCCAGAGATTGTTGTTTCTTGATACTATTGCTTTTTGTTAATTTTGCAACTTTGCTGGACAAATTTTGTAGGTTATACATTCCTTACAGTGTGAGGCCACTACATTGTCTACTAGCCTTTTGATTTTGTTTTGTTTCGTTTTGTTTTCAACTTCTTATTCTTTAAGCCTGACTTCCTCTGCATAAAGATCAGTATAATTTAGTGATCCTCTAGTGGCAGGTTAGATGATTTTCTTAGATCCCTCAACTGTGTAACTTGCACCCCTTACTTGGGGTATATGTGTGAAAAGGCATACCTTCAAGCTTCAGGTAAGCTATGATACAGTTTTAGCTTTCATTTCCTGCTTGCACAAGGCCTCTGTGTCAGTCAGAAGTGAGTGACTGATGACTTCACCATTTATGTCTTGGGCATGAAACTAGCCTTGAGCATGTACAGGCTTTTCTATCCCCAAGACTGTCAAAACTTTTCAAAGCTGCCTATGATTGCCTAGTTTACCAGGATGTCATTTTAAACTTTTGCCAGACTCTTCTTTGTCCCAAATTAAATTACAGCCTAAAGCAGCTGTGATATTGTCAACATATTACAATAGTTTATGGTAGTACCCTGAAGGTAGGTTTTTTGTTTGTTCATTTGTTGCTTATTGTTTTATGTTTGCCTGAACTGAGCGCTGAGTCAAAATAAATAACCACAAAATCTTGCATGTAGAAATTTTCCTGAGACCTGAAAATCTGGACTAAATATTGACTATTTCTGGCCATGGAGCTTTTAACAGAGCTCCGCAATAGGTTATTCTTCTCTGTTAGGTACGAGGCTGTCACTCGTTCATAGCTAGCTACCACACCACTGGCCTGGGCAAACATCATACACTCTGCTTTCTTATTGAGGTTCCATAGTTTCTCTTGGTAGAAGATTTTCAACTCTTTCTGTGGCATTAATTAATAGAGTCCTGAAGGAGTTTATTTTAATTGTTTTGCCAGTATTTTGTTGTTTTTGCATGAGAGAGTGAGTTCACTGAGATCTTTAACGTTTCTGAAGTTAATTTCATGTTTTTACATTGTGTTGTTATATATCAAGTTATTCCCTGCAGGCAGAACATACTTAGATCTCTCTTTCTCAATGTGAACTGACAATCTCAACCTTTTAATCAGGGTGTTTAGACCATTTGTACGTAATAAGAACACTGATGTGATTAGGATTAATTCTAGCTGCTTGCTATTTGTATTTCATTGATCTCATCTTTATTTCTTTTGTCAGACATTAGCATTAATGCATATTTTCTATAAGTCCAATTTTTAAAAATCTATTGGCTTGATATCTATATTGCATTATTATATAATTGTGACTGTAATAACATTCATTGTCACAATGTCAGGCTGGTCTCGAACTTCCGACCTCAGGTGATCCGCCCACCTCAGCCTCCCAAAGTACTGGGATTACAGGCCTGAGCCACTGCGCCTGGCCAGTTGTATTATAACATGTGGAAATACCGTAATAGAAATACATAAGAGAAGCTGTCATCAGAGGGTTTCTTAAATTGTACTACACAAAGATTTTTTTTTTTCATCAGAATCATCAGTGACTTTTTAAAGAATTGCAGGTCATGATCTCTACCAAGCCAGTAAAACAACCTCTCAAAGTAAGGAATTGGCATGTTTAGTAAAAACCACTGAACTATAAAAGAGAATAAAACAAGTATTATTTCTTGGAAATTGGGAAGTTGGAAAATGATGAGAATAAAGAGAAAATAATAAAAAAGAAGAGTTTACCTGGGCGATAAGCTAGAGTGGGTGGGTGCATTACTGGAAGGAAGAGATCTTTAATTGTAAAGCAGACTGTTATTAAAGTGCAAGGAAATCTTTGAAATCCCCGTTAAATCCGCGTGGCCGATGTTGGTAGCTCATTTTACAAATGAGAAAACTCAGAAACAAGTTTTTCTAAATTACTGTAGTAAGCTTACATGGCCACTTATAGGTGACCTAGAACTAAAACCACTTCTCACAAATCAACGAATGCTACGGTCTCTCCAACATTTTTATTGCTTGGTAGCATTTGAATAGCAGTGCCATTGTCAAAAACACATTCATTTCCCTAAAAGGTTGACATAAAATGGAATGTAATGATTCTTAAGGTACTGCGACTTCTGGCAGGTATCAAGGAGCTCCGCATTACTTGACACATATTTTACATCCTCAGTCCGACCTGATGTAAAATGGAAAGACACTAATGTAAGAGTTATTTTACACTGAAACAATTTTGGAAAACGTCTTTCTTGGTTCTACGTGCTTCTGTAAGCCTGAGATGCATGATAAAGTTGTGCTACTATCAAATGCACAAATAGTTTAAGGAGGAGGCCTTCTAGTAAAAAAAAAAAGAAAAAAAAAAAGATGGCATCTTGGCATTTCCTCAGATTTCTCCTCTCAAATGTATTATTTCCTAGTTTCTTTTTATGGTGCATCTGCCAAGGTGTTTTCATTAGGGTTCCTGCTTCTGACAAGCCTAAGGACGGCTGGGAGCCTGCTGGCTTCGGGTTGATGTGGAGACAGTTTCACAGCGTGTCATCGCTAGACCTCGGTGCTGGAAATCTCAGCATTTCATGATCCCTCCGCCCTGAATTGAAAACGAGCATGGAGAGCAGCAGAAAGCACTCCAGGTGGGGAGATACATTTGAAGTTCCTGGGAGGAGAAGCAGCTATAAGAAAGGAAAATGAGAGTTGCCAATGTGTAATTATAGCCTTTGAATAAAAACCTGTTCAAAATACAAGATTGTCACTCTTCCTTTTCAAAAAGGTTGCTGCTGTGATTGGGGGCCTTGGCACGGTACATTCCTGGCAGCAGATTACTCACTGGAGTAATCAGGGGAGAATCGACATTTTAAATGAGGCTCTACTTTCTGTAATATCTTACTTTTCACTTTCATTTATTTCCTGAGCTCTACCAGTTTACATCACATCTCCTTCTGTGTTATTATAATCTCTTTGAAATCTAGTCTTTCTTTTTTGTCTTGCAGTTTGGGATACCCCATTATTTTCTTTGATATAATAAAACTCATTTTTAAAGAAATATGTTCTGATCCTTTGTAGAATTTATAGTTAAGTATTGAGAGACGTTGGTTGTAAATAAGAAAATTCCCATGCTAGTTTCCTTATAATGTTACTTATTTTGAAATGGCAGCTTTCCTTTAATGTTGCCGTTTTCTAAAAAAGTACTTGAGGGGAGGACCTGCAGGAATGAAATAGGGTCATCATGACTGGCCTCCAGTGAGAGACATATTCGTGATCAAGGTAAATTTCTTCGGCTTTTGTTAATTTGCATTTTCACCTTTGTTAGTTACTCTTCTTTCTTTTTTTCTTTTTCTTTTCTTTTTTTATTATACTTTAAGTTTTAGGGTACATGTGCACAACTTGCAGGTTAGTTACATATGTATACATGTGCCATGTTTGTGTGCTGCACCCATTAACTTTTTTATGATGACTTAAGTATTACCAAGTAAGGGTAAACTTTACAAACCTAACTGGTTGAAAAGCTTACTGGTTTGCTGGCTTACAACGTAGTAATGCATGCAAGTTCATCTCTTTCACTGAAATGTTGACGATATTGAAAATGTAGAATCAAGTATAATTACTTGCAAATACTCTCATATAGATTAACTGTAAAATTCTGAACTGTTAATTATATCAATTGTGAATTTAATAAATACTTATTATAAATCATTCTTTACCAAATACAAGCAAGATATAGACTTTTTGTCTTAAAAATGCAGTAACCGTTTCATTGTATAAAAGAAGGATATCTCAGAGATGTGTATAAGTTACCTTAAAAGTAGAAATAAAATATATTTCAGCTTCTAATATTTTATTCAAGAAAAAATTAACTCACCTTGGATCCAGGCATGAATTGTTCTCAGTAGGGAGCAAATATTAATTAGGAAGTACATAGCAAATAATCTGTTTCATATTTCAAGTCATTTTAAAGAAGGAAATAATTACAATTTAAATGATTTATAAGAAATAAATTGATAAATGGGTAATATATTTAATAATAACAAGAAATTTATGTCTGGCCTAAGAATTCCGTAGCCTCACCTCACACAAATATGTGTTTCATTTCTGATTTTGGGATGTGGCCCATTTTTGGGTTCTGGGTCACTGTCTGATGCATGATTCTGATCCTGGGTTATGCACAACTCCAGAAACACTAATTTTTGTGCCATGGTAAAAGCATGACTTTGGCTCACATCCTCGTTTCTGTGGTCCAATTTGAGTTCTAAAAGCTTAGACAAGTCTGGACACCATGGCTCACACCAGTAATCCCACCACTTTGGGAGACTGAGGCAAGAGAATTGCTTGAGGCCAGGAGTTCAAGACCAGCCTGGGCAATGTAGTGAGACTCTCTCTACAAAAAATATATAAGGGTCAAAATAGCCAAGATGGTTCTGCCTGCGCCCAGCTACTCAGGAGACAGAGGTGAACTCAGTCGGGGAAGTAGAGGCTACAGTAGCTATGATCACGCCATGGTGTTCCAGTGTGGGAGACAAAGTGAGACCCTATCTCAAAACAAAACAAAACAAAACAAGATGAAACAGCACAAAACCATAGACAATGGGGTTAGGCCTTATCTATAACTGTAGATTGCCAATTGTTTCCTTCCTTCAGCATTTCATCACTATTTCTGGTCTACAGTTTTCTGTTTCTAATGTGAATATGTAGTATAATCATGAATTTATTAATATTTAAAATGGTCCCTGTAATCTATCAAATAAGTGTTTGTGTAGAGGTGTGTGTGCATGTGTATATTGGGGGGAGGATGGTCACACATATGCAGTCTACAATCTAGCAGCTAAAAGATATATTATTTCTTAAAAACATTAAATGTAAAAAATGCATTAAATTCAAAATCCCAGATATTGTTGAACTAAATTCTTTGTAAAATGCTATGTTTTTGAATGATCCTACAGGTTTAATTTCAGTTTTATGAGGGTCTTCTTGAGAAAGAATATCACTTACAAGGCCACAGTGGGATGATGCCAATGCCTTTGGGCCTTCTATTCCTCAAGTATTCAATAAATTACATTTAACAGCTACTGGTCCTTTAAGTTGGAGAGAAATAGGCTTAGAACGGGTTCCAAATCTCTGGTAAATTTTCTAGATCAAAAATATCTGGGTTATAATTTGTACAGCAGGATGAGAAATCATTTATTATATTTCTCTACCTTCAAGTTGATTTTTTACCTTTAAGTACAAGTTTATAATTGTAAAGTATCCCAGTAAGTTTCAGTTTGAATGTATTAATTCCTGAATCTCAGACATGAAGTCTATAGTACACATTTATGTAGGTTCAAAATAATTCATGCCACATTTCTATCATGAAGATATTTGTGTTTAAAATCATCTCTGTCTATCCATAGTTTACATTACTTTAAATAATATGATAGTAAAGTATCCTTTAGAAATGCTATAGGTGATGTGGGTTTACTATTAAAATATTCTACTTAAAATATCAGTATTTCAAAATCATATTGTTTTAGAAAGCTATTACATTTTATTCTTTCAAAAATGATCCACAAAACAAATCTCCAATTATGTCTAAATATTATTTACCTTAGAAATTCTGTCCAATACAATTCAAATTTTAGGAATATTATGCAGTAAATGGTTAAACAGCAGTTGCATACAACTGCTAGAGGGAAATACTCTGATAAAGAAAGAAAATGAGGTAGTCAAATAAGCTTGTAAGCATGCTAATGTCAGACCTCCTAGAAAACAAACTAATAGTTTTTATTGCAGAAGATTCCTTATCTATGGAATACTTTTAGAAAGATGTACCTGATCTATCTAGTTATTTTCATAGTAAACAAATCTGGAATCCATGGATTTCTTGAATATGGCTTTCTGCAACATATCACATATGCTGTGTAACTCTCTGAACATAAAATGGAAGGGTTTACTGATCAAAACAGATCTCTTTTTGTGAGTAATGTAGCTGCATGCAATAATCTGGGAACTTCACATCCAGTGTTGGCAAGAGTACATCCAAAGTAGCAAGAAGGATAGATAAGCTGGCAGTTCCTGACATCTCCCAGCTGCATTTGCCTTAGGGTTATGTGTATCCTTTAATACTTAGTAAATCTTACTGTTTTGTAAGCTCTTTGATTTGTGTGATTTGTGTGAGTATGAGTTGAGCCTTTGTTTTTAGATATAATGCTGTTAGAAACCTTTGTTTTGTAAACATTTAAAATATATGTAAATTAAATACTTCTAAAGAGGCATACAACATTTAGCTTTTTAGCCTTGTCTTCACTTGGAGATGTATTTTTGAAATAATTCTGTTTAGTTTCTTTTTTTGGAAATTTGTAATATTGCATAACGTTCTTTCCTATGAGTTCCTCTTCCATTTTGATAATATCCGTTTAATTTCACATTATTCTCTATTTAATGTTACACTGGTCACATTTTTTTTTCCAGCATAAGAATTGAAATAGAAGAGAAGATCAGTTAGTTCCTTTATTTCCTGGTCTTGAAAATGTTTATTAATATATATAAATGCCATAAATGCCAAGATTGAAGTTGAGGTGAAAGGGCTTACTGCAAACCTAAGGATTTTGAAGTGCTCTTTTGAAAAAAAAAAAATATTTGGCAGCCGGTCATATGGTTTATAAGCTGAATTTAGTTTTTGAAATTTTGATATATTAATTTAAAAGTTTCAATTTACTTTTACACTGCTAAGAAATGAATGGAAGCTTATACCTATGTGGGGGCCTCATAATAAAAAAAAATTGCTATCTCATTTGCCATAAGTACCATGTGACCTTGCTAATTATAGAGCAAATTCCATTTTGCTTTATGAAAATGGAATGAATACTAGGTTTCTGTTGTTTTTTTCTTCTCTGTTATTATTATTCTGTTGTCTCTTGTATCTCCATTATGTATGTATGGGTCTTACAATTTTTAAATGTTATTTCATTTAATAGAAGTACCATGTGATCTACTTTCTCATTATACAGCAAATTCCATTACCTAAAAACATCCCATCTCTCTCCAGTGCTTTCCAAACATATGTTTTTGTCAAACTAACATATTAAACACTAAGGAAAATTAACAAATTATAGCTATAAACAGCAGAATTAATTAGTAACAAAGATAAGCAAAACCATTCATAAACACATAGACACCCACGCATGCATACACATGCATATAACAAAGGAGTAATTCCAGATAACTAAAAGCAAAGAAATTATTTGATAAATGTTTCTAAGAGAATTTGTTATCCATATTCGAAAAAAAAGATGTTTTATCTCTATGCCATACCATAAACATAAAGCAGTTATAAATGAAACAAAGAAATAAAAATGAAAAGCAAATGCTAAATTGGTTAATTATCCTGGCAATTACACTTCTAAATATCCTAAGGGAAAAAATGCTCATGTTGGTCAGAAGATACACACAAAATTGTTCATCACAGATTATTTGTAATAGCAATAGAAATAAAAGGAAAACAAAACCTGAAGACAATCAATAGAAGAGCGAATATATAATTATCCATTCATACAAGTAACACTTCACAACAGGTAGAAATGCATGAAAAAAATGCAACACATAGCAATGTAAGGCGTACAGTTAGATTCAATGTTATTAATAAAAATCTATTAGATAAATTGAGTACAACACCCATAGGTGTTTGTTTTGTTTTACAACCCACATTTGGTTAGATTTTTTATATGCATACACAATTTTATTTTAAAAAGAAAGAAATAAAAGAAAATTCAGGCACTGAGTTTAAATAACTCAATAAAATTTGCTAAGAAAGGGTCAGAGAAACAAACATTTCTTGAATGAGAATGAGGAGTCAATGGTTCAGCACAATTCTCAGGGTGGCTTTGGACTAACCCAGTTTGCCTCCCTTTCTTGCTCATGGCTCTCAAAAATAACTACATAATGTCCTGAAAATGCAACATCTTGAGATAAGGAAGAGCTGGCTAGAGCAGGTAAGGCTCTGTTCTAGGTACCCCCTCAACCCCTTCATCCGCATCCCAAGAATAGTATGTCCCTCAACTCTTTGGCCCAGTAACTCATGTGACCTTGTAGTATATAACCGGGGACAGACTGCCTTTAGGGTCCCTCAGAAGGTTGGTTATGCACAGTCAATACTCCAAAGCCCCAGTCAGCTTTTCTGAGCCTTGACAATCTGGCTCATAATGAATCCTAGGATTCTGTTGTCTCTGTTCTCCATCTGTAAGTAAAAAAAAATTATGTCAGGTAACTTGTTGCATGAGTTCTGTCTCACTGGACTCAGATAAGTTGGTAACCAGTACATAGTGAACCTGCTTCACAAATGTATTTGTTTTACAAAGATGATAGACATCACTACATATTGTAATCTGATGGAAATCATTGAATAAAAAGGGAAGACTGATGACATGCTATGCTTTACGTTGACATGAGAGAGAAAGGGACTAAATACTGAGGTGATTTATTTTAGTAGAGTGGATAGGAGGTCCTCATAGGAACAGGATTTTTTTTTTTTTTTTCCAGAGATGGAGTCTCACTCTGTTACCCAGGCTGGAGTGCAGTGGTGTGTTTTCGGCTCGCTGCAACCTCCCCCTCCCAAGTTCAAGCGATTCTTCCGCCTCAGCTTCCCGAGTAGCTGGGATTACAGGTGCGCAGCAGCACGCCAGGCTAATTTTTGTATTTTTAGTAGAGAGGGGGTTTCCCCATGTTGGCCAAGCTGGTCTTGAACTCCCAACCTCAGGTGATCTGCCTGCCTCCCAAAGTGCTGGGATTACAGGTGTGAGCCAAGGAATATTTTATACATTGAAATTGAAAGAAAACCAAGGCATATGAGCTATACAAAAAAATAGATTAAAAGTATAGTGGAATCCTGGAATTTCTTGTCTAATTATTTTTATTTTAATTGTGAAATTGGAAACAAAGTCACCAATTGATATAAAAACAATGCAAGAAAGTGTGAATAGTTGGAAGAAAACAATTGCAAGAAATAATTGTCAAGACCACAGAATGGTGAGTGACTAGGGCAATAAAGCAGTTAGCACCGAAGAAAGATTTGTCAACACACCTATGGGTTTTTTTCAGCCCCATTTGATAATCATATTTTGGACTCAAAGTAGCAATTTATTTAATAATTTTTTATTTTGGAAAAATTGAAATGTTTTATTAACAAGGGGGTTTTACTAACAGGAAGGTGTACCATCTCTTAACCAGTGCATTTCAGCCCAGTGCTAGCTATTCATGAATTACTCACTGGAGGGGACCATAGATGTAGAAACTTAAAGATAATTATAGATGCCTAATTTTATCTTATTAAATCAGTGAGATTATGATAGAGAAGAAAAGATGAACTGATATAGAATGGAAACAGATACACAACTTTTTATGTATAATCTATTTCTGTTCCCACTTGCAGGAACTTACCTACTGAAAAGTCCCTCCTGAATAATTCCAGCAATCACCAGCTGTGCTTAATACATTCTGATGAGCAAATATTGTCACATTTTGTGTGGAACCTGCCATCTATGCCCCCCCACCTTTTTTTTTTTTTTTTGAGACGGAGTCTTGCTCCGTCCCCAGGCTGGAGTGCAGTGGTGCTATCTCGTCTCACTGCAACTCCTGCCTCCCAGGTTCAACCAATTCTCCTGCCTCAGCCTCCTGAGTAGCTGGGATTACAGGTGCGTGCCACCATGCCCAGCTAATTTTTGTATTTTTAGTAGAGACAGGGTTTGACCATGTTGGCCAGGATGGTCTCCGTCTCTTGACCTCGTGATCTATCCACCTCAGCCTCCCAAAGTGCTGGGATTACAGGCGTGAGCCACTGCACACAGCCCCCCTCTTTTAATTACTTAGTTAGTTTCTTATGGGCCCTCACTGAAATTAGTAGGTACAGGTAGGGTAATTTGTGGAACACTATTGCTGTGTTTTACTAAATCCATAAGGCATCTCTCTCTCTCTCCTTTTTTTTTTTTTTTTTTTTTTTACAAAGTGAGAGAGAATGCATCTCCCTACTTTTTATTACGCTGTATTAGACTGTAAATAAAATATTTTTGTCTGTCACAATCAATACCTCAAAACCTCCAATAGGTTTTAGTGAAACAGAACTTTCATCCTTTATTTATAGGCCTGCTCCAACTCCTCTTTATTGCACTGGAATCCAACATAAATTCTAACTAGAGTGGGGCTAAACTGAGGAACAAATTACATGCTATGTCCAGAACGGCTTTTATCCAGCAAAACAAAATATTTTGCTACATATAGTGCTCTTTCTTTAGAGAGAGTTTTCTCATGGAAGAGCTTTAGATTCTCTTTATTAAGCAACTCTTGAGGTGGGGGTTATTCCACTTGTACACCAGGTTGATCTAGGCTATGTATCACACTATAGACACAACTTAAGTTTAGACTAAATCCCCACCAAACAGAGTTTTTATTTTTCTTTTGTCACAATTGATGCTTGGAATTTTAGTCTTCAATATTGACCTTGATGTTACAGCACTTACTGGAGTAGCCATGGAAGATGTAATCAGTTAACCACCTCCTTTGCTGTCTTTTTGGCACTCTGACTGCTCAGAAATGTCTAACTTGAGTTCATTTGTAACCACAGTTACAAAATCAAAAGACAATATTGGGAAGAAATGAAATGTCCTGGAGAGTCAACCTCATGTATTTTTACTTATCTGACCTCTCAAATGTTGATATTCCAAATCTGGCATCTTCTATATCAAGCAAGTAAAACAAATGACCACTAAAAGCAAAAAGCATCAGGAGCATAAAAACGTGAGAAAGTTGTAGTTCTTAATTCACAAGACCTCATAAGGTAATAGTGGAAAAATAAACATAACAAATAACCTGGAGGAAGGGGAGACAAAAAAATTCTATAAGCACAAACTAAATTTAACTGGAGTATTTTGCAGGAAAAGCGAAATTTTGCTTTTGCAGATTTGGGGAGTTTGATTCAGGTAGCTACAAATAAAAAGTATTTATTTAGTGTCTGTCATATTTCAGAAGCTGTGATGCAGCATCTTCCAGTAAATGGAAATGATAGAGTGACACAGTCTTAAAACTTTTAGCATTTCTTGTAAAACCCCCAAACCATAAAAACCCTAGAAGAAAACCTAGGAAATCCCATTCACAACATAGGCACAGGCTAAGACTTCATAACTAAAATACCAAAAGCAATTACAACAAAGCCAAAATTGACAAATGGGATCTAATTAAACTAAAAGAGCTTCTGCACAGCAAAATAAACTATCATCAGAGTGAACAGGCAACCTACAGAATGGGAGAAACTTTTTGCAATCTACCCATCTGACAAAGGTCTAATATCTAGGATGTACAAGGAACTTAAACAAATTTACAAGAAAAAGACAAATGACCCCATCAAAAAGTGGGAAAGAATATGATCAGACACTTCTCAAAAGAAGACATTTATGCAGCCAATAAACATACGAAAACAAGCTCATCACCACTGGTAATTAGAGAAATGCAAATCAAAACCACAAAGAGATACCATCTCACGCCAGTCAGAATGGCAATTATTAAAAAGTCAGGAAACAACAGATACTGGCGAGGCTGTGGAGATATAGGAATGCTTTTACACTGTTGGTGGGAGTGTAAATTAGTTCAACCATTGTGGAAGACAGTGTGGCGATGCCTCAAGGATCTAGAACCGGAAATAACATTTGACCCCGCAATCGCATTACTGGGTATATACCCAAAGGAATATAAATTATTCTACTATAAAGACACAAGCATACGTATATTTATTGCAGCACTGTTTATGATAACAAAGACATGGAAGTAACCCAAATGCCCATCAATCATAGACTGAATTAAGAAAATGTGGCACATATGTACCATGGAATACCATGTAGCCATGAAAAAGGGTGAGTTCATGTCCTTTGCGGGAACATGGATGAAGCTGGAAGCCATCATTCTAAGCAAACTAACACAGGAACAGAAAACCAAATGTCACCCCTTCTCATTCATAAGTGGGAGATGAACAATTAGAACACATGGGCACAGGAAGGGTAACATTACACACTAGGGCCTGTTGGGGGGTGGGGGACAAGGGAAGGGAGAGCATTAGGACAAATATCTAATGCATGTGGGCTTAAAACCTAGATTATGGGTTGATATGTGCAGCAAATCACCATGGCACATGTATATCTATGTAACAAACCTGCACGTTCTGCACATATATCCCAAACTTAAAGTAAAATAAACCAAACTTTTAGCATTTCCTCTATATGACGTATTATGAACGCTACAGAGTTAGTGATATAATCTCCTCTTGAGGTATTAGATAATCCTTTAATGTAGGATAATATGCATGGTTGTTATTAACTGTCATACTTACTTTTCCTCTTTGCAGGCCCCTACTGCTAGCACATCTACCTATGCCTGCACACATGGGACACACATAATCACATATTTTTCTCCATTAGATTCATATTTACCATATATATATACGTTTTTTTTGAGATGGTGACTCGCTGTGTCACCCAGCCTGGAGGGCAGCAGCATGATCTTGGCTCTCTGCAACCTCTGCCTCCGGGGTTCAAGCAATTCTCCTACCTCAGCCTCCCTAATAGCTGGAAGTACAGGCACATACCACCACGCCCAGCTAATTTTTGTATTTTTACTAGACGGGGTTTCATCTTGTTGGCTAGGCTGATCGTGAACTCCTGACCTCAGGTGATCCACCCACCTCGGCCTCCCAAAGTGCTGGGATTACAGGCCTGAGCCACCACACTCTGCCCATATTTACTATATTTTGAATGCATCAGCAGAAACTAAACCTTGCCAAGAAGCCATACCAATTTAGGAAATGGATCAGTTAGCCCTATGCAGAAAAACAATATGTCATTGGAAACACGTTTTTTGAAGTTACAATACAGTTGTTCCTCTATATGTGTGTGTTCCACATCAATGGATTCAACCAAATGCAGATAAAAAATATTTGGGAAAAAAAATTCTGCAAAGTTCCAAAAAGCAAAACTTGAATTTTTCCTCACCAGGTACTGCATTGAATCCACACAAATGAAATGATGTGTAGGCATAGTATTAGGTATTACAGTAATCTGGACATGATTTAAAGAACTGGATACAGGAGGTTGTTTGCAGGTTATATGCAAATACTATGCTAATTTATATCATTGACTTGAGCAGCTTCTCATTTTGGCATCTGTAGGAAGTCCTGGAACCAATCCCACACCAATACTGAGGGAAAACTGTATTTATTTTTCTACTCAGTATTTATTAACTTTTGCAATTTTCAAAAATTATGATACACATATGAAATTGAAAAAGGGAAGAAAAAGACCATCTCTGAAGGATCTCATGTCTAGTACAAGGCATTCAAACCTTTGGTCTCAGGACTGCTTTTTGCTCTTCAAAAATACTGAGGGCCAGAGGGTAGCTGGCAAAATGGTCTGCAGCTCCCAGAAAGATCGACACAGAAGGCAGGTGATTCCTGCATTTTCAACTGAGGTACCCGGTTCATCTCACTGGAACTGGTTGGACAGTGGGTGCAACCCACGGAGGGCGAGCCGTAGCGGGGTGGGGCGTCACCTCACCCAGGAAGCACAAGGGGTCAGGGGATTTCCCTTTCTTAGCCAAGGGAAGCTGTGAGAGACTGTATCGGGAGGAATGGTGCATTCTGGCCCAGATACTGTGCCTTTCCCATGGCCTTTGCAACCAGCAGACTAGGAGATTCCCTTTGGTGCCTGGCTAGTCTGGTTGCTCCTCCACGGAGCCCAGCAAGCTAAGATCCACTGGCTTGAAATTCTCGCTGCTCCACAGCAGTTTGAAGTCGACCTGGAACACTCCAACTTGGTGGTGGGAGGGGCATCCACCACTGCTGAGGCTTGAGTAGGGGGTTTTACCCTCACAGTGTAAACAAAGCTGCTGGGAAGTTCGAACTGGGCAGAGACCACTGCAGCTCCCTGGGACAGATCACCTTGGGGAAGGGGCGGCTGTGGGCACAGCTTCAGCAAATTTAAATGTCCCTGCCTGACAGCTGTGAAGAGAGCTGCGGTTCTCCCAGTACAGTGTTTGAGCACTGATGAGGTACAGACTGCCTCCTGAAGTGGGTCCCTGACCCCCGGTGTATGCAGACTGGAAGACACCTCCCAGCAGGGGCCGACAGGTACCTCATAAAGGAAAGCTCTCGCTGGCATCTGGCAGGTGCCCCTCTGGGAGAAAGCTTCCCCAGGCACGAACAGGCAGCAATCTTTGTTGATCTGCAGCCTCTGCTGGTGATACCCAGGCAAACAGGATCTGGAGTGGTCCTTTAGCAAATTCCAGCAGACCTGCAGCAGAGGGGCCTGACTATTAGAAGGAAAACTAACAAACAGAAAGGAATAGTGTCAACATCACCAACATCAAAGACCAAAGTTAGAAAAATCCATGAAGATGGTGAGAAACCAGCACAAAAAAGCTGAAAATTCCAAAATACAGAACGTCTCTTCTTGTGCAAAGGATCACAACTCCTCACTAGCAAAGGAACAAAACTGGATGGAGAATGAGCTTGACGAATTAGCAGAAGTCGGCTTCAGAAGGTGCATAACAACAAACTTCTCCAAGCTAAAGGATCAAGTTCTAACCCAATGCAAGGAAGCTAAGAACGTGGAAAAAATTTTAGATGAATTGCTAACTAGAATAACCAGCTTAGAGAAGAACATCAGTGACCTGATGGAGCTAAAAACACAGCATGAGAACTTCGTGAAGCATACACAAGTATCAATAGCTGAATCGATCGAGCAGAAGAAAGGATATCAGGGATTGAAGATCAACTCAATGAAATAAAGACAGAAGACAAGATTAGGAAAAAAAGAGTTAAAAGAAATGAACAAAGCCTCCAAGAAATATGGGACTATGAGAAAAGACCAAATCTATGTTTGATTGGTGTACCTGAACGTGATCGGGAGAATGGAACCAAGTTAGAAAACACTCTTCATGATATCACCCAGGATAACTTCCCCAACCTAGCAAGGCAGGCCAACATTCAAATTCAGGAAATACAGAGAACACCACAAAGATACTCTACGAGAAGAGCAACCCCAAGACATATAATTTTCAGATTCCCCAAGGTTGAAATGAAGGAAAAAATATTAAGGGCAGCCAGAGAGAAAGGTCAGGTTACCCACAAAGGGAAGCCCATCAGACTGACAGTGGATCTCTCAGCAGAAACCCTACAAACCAGAAGAGAGTAGGGGCCAATATTCAATATTCTTAAAGAAAAGAATTTTCAACCCAGAATTTCATATCCAGCCAAACTAAGCTTCATAAGCAAAGGAGAAATAAAATCCCTTACAGATAAGCAAATGCTGAGAGATTTTCACCATGAGGCCTGCCTTACAAGAGCTCCTGAAGGAAGCACTAAACATGGAAAGGAACAACCAGTACCAGCCACTGCAAAAACATGCCAAACTGTAAAGGCCATTGATGCTATGAAGAAACTGTATCAACTAACAGGCAAAACAACCAACTAGCATCATAATGACAGGATCAAATTCACACGTAACTATATTAACCTTAAATGTAAATGCCCCAGTGAACAGACACAGACTGGCAAATTGGATAAAGAGTCAAGACCCAAGGGTGTGCTGTATACAGGAGACTCATCTCATGTGCAAAGACACACATAGGCTGAAAATAAAGGGATGGAGGAATATTTACCAAGCAAATGCAAAGAAAAAAAATTGGGTTGCAATCCTAGTTTCTGATAAAACAGACTTTAAACCAACGATCAAAAGGACAAAGAAGGGAATTACATAACGGTAAAGGGATCAATGCAACAAGAAGAGCTAACTCTCCTAAATATATATGCACCCAATACAGGAACATCCAGATTCATAAAGCAAGTTCATAATGACCTACAAAGAGACTTAAACTCCCACACAATAATAGTGACAGACATTAATACACCACTGTCAATATTAGACAGATCAATGAGGCAGAAAATTAACAAGGATATCCAGGACTTGAACTCAGCTCTGGACCAAGCAGACCTAATAGACATCTACAGAACTCTCTACCCCAAATCAACATAGTATACATTCTTCTCAGCACCACATCACACTTATTCTAAAATTGACCACATAATTGGAAGTAAAACACTCCTCAGCAAATGCAAAAGAAAGGAAATCATAACAAACGGTCTCTAAGACCACAGTGCAATCAAATTAGAACTCAGGATTAAGCAATTCACTCAAAACTACATGGAAACTGAACAACCTGCTCCTGAAAGACTACTGGGTAAATAACGAAATGAAGGCAGAAATACAGATGTTCTTTGAAACCAATGAGAAAAAAGACACAATATACCAGAATCTCTGGGACACATTTAAAGCAGTGAGTAGAAGGAAATTTATAGCACAAAATGCCCACAAGAGAAAGCAGGAAAGATCTAAATTGACACACTAACATAACAATTAAAATAACTATAGAAGCAAGAGCAAACACATTCAAAAGGTAGTAGAAGAAATAACTAACATCAAAGCAGAACTAAAGGAGCTAGAGACAAAAAATCCTTCAAAAAATCAATGAATCCAGGAGCTGTTTTTTTTGAAAAGATCAACAAAATAGATATACCACTAGCTAGACTAATAAAGAAGAAAAGAGAGAAGAATCAAATAGATGCAATAAAAAATGATAATGGGGATATCACCACCAATCCCACAGAAATACAAACTATCATCAGAGAATATTATAAACACCTCTAAGCAAATAAACTAAAAAATCTAGAGGAAATAGATACATTCCTGAACACATACCACTTCCCAAGACTAAACCAGGAAGAAGTCAAATTCCTGAATAGACCAATAACAAGTTCTGGAATTGGGGCAGTAATTAATAGCCTACCAATGAAAAAAAGCCCAGGAGCAGAGGGATTCACAGCTAAATTCTACCAGAGGTACCAAAAGGAGCTGGTACCATTCCTTCTGAAACTATTCCAAACAATAGGAAAAAGGGAGTCCTCTCTAATTCATTTTATGAGAGCAGAATCATCCTGATACCAAAACCTGGCAGAGACACAACAAAAAAAGAAAATTTCAGGCCAATATCCCTGATGAATATCGATGTGAAAATCCTGAATAAAATACTGGCAAACTGAATCCAGCAGCACATCAAAAAGCTTATCCACCACGATCAAGTTGGCTTCATCCCTGGGATGCAAGTCAGTTTCAACATATGCAAATCAATAAACGTAATCCATCACATAAACAGAATCAATGACAAAAACTGCATGATTATCTCAATAGATGCAGAAAAGGCCTTTGAGAATTTTCAACACCCCTTCATGCTAAAAACTCTCAATTTACTAGTTATCGATGGAATGTATTTCAAAATAATAAGAGCTATTTATGACAAACTCACAGGCAATATCATACTGAATGGGCAAAAACTGGCAGCATTCTCTTTGAAAACCAGCACAAGACAAGGATGCCCTCTGTCACTGCTCCTATTCAACACAGTATTGGAAGTTCTGACCAGGGCAATCAGCAAAGAGAAAGAAAGAAAGTGTATTCAATTAGGAAAAGAGGAAGTCAAATTGTCTCTCTTTGCAGATGACATGATTGTATATTTAGAAAACCCCATCGTCTCAGTCCAAAATCTCCTTAAGCTGATAAGCAACTTTAGCAAAGTCTCAGGATACAAAATCAATGTGCAAAAATCACAAGCATTCCTATACACCAATAACAGACAAACAGAGAGCCAAATCATGCGTGAACTCCCTTTCACAATTGCTACAAAAAAAAAATACCTAGGACTACAACTTACTAGGGATATAAAGTACCTCTTCAAGGAGAACTACAAACCACTGCTCAAAGAAATAAGAAAGGATACAAACAAATGGAAAAACATCCCATGTTCATGGATAGGAGGAATCAATATCATGAAAACGGCCATACTGCCCAAAGTAATTTATAGATTCATTACTATCCCCATCAAACTACCAATGACTTTCTTCACAGAATTTGAAAAAACTACTTTAAATTTCATAGGGAACCAAAATAAAGCCTGCATAGCCAAGACAATCCTAAGAAAAAAGAACAAACCTAGAGGCATCATGCTACCTGACTTCAAACTGTACTACAAGGCTACAGTAACCAAAACAGCATGGTACTGGTACCAAAACAGATATACAGACCAATGGAACAGAACAGAGGCTTCAGAAATAACACCACACATCTACAACCATCTGATCTTTGACAAATCTGACAAAAACAAACAATGGGGAAATGATTCCCTATTTAATAAATGGTGTTGGGAAAACTGGCTAGCCATATGTAGAAAGATGAAACTGGATCCCTTCCTTACACCTTATACAAAAATCAACTCAAGATGGATTAAAGACTTAAATCTCTAATCCAAGATGGATTAAAGACATAAAACCATACAAACCCTGGAAGAAAACCTGGGCAATACCATTCAGCACATAGGCATGTGCAAAGACTTCATCACTAAAACACCAAAGCAATGGCACAAAAGCCAAAATTGACAAATGGGATCTAATTAAACTAAAGAGCTTCTGCACAGCAAAAGAAACTATCATCAGAGTAAACCAGCAACCTGTAAGAAGGGAGAAAATTTTTGCAGTTTATCCATCTGACAAAGGGCTAATATCCAGCATCTACAAAGAACTTACACAAATTTACAAGAAAAAAAAAACCCATCATAAAGTGGGCAAAGTATATGAACAGACACTTCTCAAAAGTAGACATTTATGTGGCCAAAAAACATATGAAAAAAAGCTCAACATCACTGATCATTAGAAAAATGCAAATCAAAACCACAATGAGATACCATCTAATGCCAGTCAGAATAGCGATTATTAAAAAGTTAAGAAACAACAGATGCTGACGAGGCTATGGAAAAATATGAATGCTTTTATACTACTGGTGGGAATGTAAATTATTTCAGCTATGTGGAAGACAGTGTGGCAATTCCTCCTGAATCTAGAACCAGAAATACCATTTGACCCAGCAATTCTGTTACTGGGTATATATCCAAAGGAATATAAGTCATTCTACTGTAAAGACACATCCACACGTATGTTTACTGCTGCACTATTTATAGTAGCAAAGACATGTAACCAACTTAAATGCCCGTCAATGATAGACTGGATAAAGAATATGTGGTACATATACACCATGGAATACTATGCAGCCATAAAAAAGAATGAGATCATGTCCTTTGCAGGGACATGGATGAAGCTGGAAGCCATCATCCTCAGCAAACTAACACAAGAACTGAAAACCAAATACAGCATGTTCTCATTCATAAGTGAGAGCTGAACAATGAGAACACATGGACACAGGGAGGGGAACATCACACACCAGGGCCTGTCAAGGGGTAGGAGGCTGGGTGAGGTATAGCATTAGGAGAAATAGCTAATGTAGATGACACGTTGATGGGTGCAGCGAACCACCGTGGCACATGTATACCTAAGTAACAAACCTGCAAATTCTGCACATGTACCCCAGAACTTAAAGTATAATTTAAAAAATGCTTTCACTGGTATTAAAATGAGAAGTTGAGGGTGGATGAATTAGGTGTTTCTCACTTTCTGTCAAGAGAACCTAAAGGTTTATTTATATTTTTTTTTTAATTTAATCTAATATTATTCAAAGCATTTCATAAACATAATTTAGAGAGTCAAATGATTCTTAAAATGAGAAATGAGAACACTTTGCTCCACTTGGCCCCAGTCTAATTTTGTTTTGTTTTGTTTTGTTTGTTTTGTTTTGTTTTGTTTTGAGACGGAGTCTTGCTCTGTCTCCCAGGCTGGAGTGCAGTGGCGCCATCTCGGCCCACCGCAAGCTCCGCCTCCCGGGTTCACGCCATTCTCCTGCCTCAGCCTCCTCAGCAGCTGGGACTACAGGCGCCCACCACCACGCCCAGCTAATTTTTTGTATTTTTAGTAGAGACGGGGTTGCACCGTGTTAGGCAGGATGGTCTCCATCTCCTGACCTCGTGATCCGCCTGCCTCGGCCTCCCAAAGTGCTGGGATTACAGGCATAAGCCACCATGCCCGGCCTACCCCAGTCTAATTGTTATACTCTGGAGGAAACCATTTCCAATCTTTTAGCTTTTTAATTTTCTTTTTACTTCTATATTTCTAAAAAACATAATCACATTGCTGTTTTTGAATTTTGAATTTCATATCTTTAGATTCCTATCATATTCTCTTATATATGCCACCTACCCCAAACATTTTAGTTAAATTAATATTCACTGCTTATATTATTATGACATTGCTATTATTAGTTATAAATGATGCCTCCATTGTATATTGCTTTCCTTGGTCATCTTTTTATTTTTTGTGGGTTGCTGAGTGATTCATTTTTCTTTTCCCTTGTATTCTTCAATTTAACTATTGTTATTAATTCTCAGAGTCTCACCAGAAATATAAATCTTTTTTCAAGGAGTTAAAACGTATCACATAGTATGTTGATTTTATTTATTTATTTTGGAGACATTGCTTTTGGGAGCCTTCATTTCCAACTTGGTCTTTTGCTTTTTGGCTTTCCCGTACTGTGTTCCAGAACTGCCCTTTTATCATCATTGTGAGGATTTCCTAAGTACCTCTTTCATCTGGATATCATGTTTCTTGGATTTCATATCTTATTCATTTGGGTTTTATTCTCTTGATTTGGTGAGGGAACTTCTTACAGGAATATAAGAAATTTGTCTTTAGAGTAAAATTGCTTGAGACTTAAATTTTTTTTTAACACTTGAATAATTGGTTGGCTGAGTATAGAATTCTGTGTTGGAAATCATTTCCCATCAGATATGTGCAGGCCTTGCTAAGTTATTTAATTGTCTTCTAGCTTCCAGTGTTGCTGTTGCAGTGTCTGAAGAAATCTTGTAAATTTTTAATTTTGAAATAATTATAGACCCACAGGAAATTGCAAAAATTGTAAAGAGTCCCTTGTATTCTTCCCTCATATTTCCTCAATGGAAACATTTGTACAATTATGCAATATTAAATGATGGTATTTTAATCATAACTTCTATGCAAATGTCATTTTTTCTTTCTAAAAGTTTCAGAACATGAAAACTTCCTTCTCTAGGTATTCTGAAATTTTACAATGATGTATCTTGGTGTGAATTTTCCTTTCCCTTATTAAATCTGCTGAGCATTCGGTGGGTCTTCATTTCTCATAGTTCCCTCTCCTCCACTTCCATTGCTATCTGCTCTCTCTTTTTTCTTTCTTGAATTTTATTGCTCTTTAAAATAGTTCTATTAAATAGCCTTCTTGAAAAATAATCCATGTAATAATTTTTTTTCCTTCTGTGTTTTATTTCTTTACCTTTATAAGAGCTGTCTTCAATGAGTCTTTTTGATTTGTTTTAGAGACAGGGTATCATTTGCTCTATTGCCTGGGCTGGAGTGCACTGGTGCCATCATAGCTCACTGTAACCTGCAGTTCCTGGGCTCAAGCACTCCTCCTGTCTCAGCCAGAGTAGCTGGGACTATGGGTTGTGTGCCACCATGCCAAGCTAATTTTGTGTAGATGGAGTGGGGTCATACTATCTTGCCCAGGGTGGTCTTGAACTCCTGGCCTCAAGTGATCCTTCTGCCTTGGTCTCTCAAAGTCCCAAAGTGCAGGAGTAGAGGCTGGAGCCACGGTGCCCGACTCCATTAGTCTTTTTGAATGTTATCCCTTTCTTTTAAGAGTACAATATCTCTTTTTAAAAAAAGTCTCTCAGGATATTAATCATATTGCCTTTCAACATGATTTTACCTCCCTGCCTCTACTTTGCTTTCTCAGGGTTCCCTTTTTCATATTAGGGACTTTTCTCACACATAGGAGGAGGGGCCGGGAATTCCAGGCTTTACCGTTTTGTTTTTTTTTTTTTTTTTAAGAATGGAAATTCAGTGAGACCTATTATCATCTCCACCTGCCATTTCACCTTCAGTGGCACCTAAGGCCTCATTCCTGACTGAACTCATACAGCCTCCGGGCTTGTTTCTTGGCTTCTCCCAGAAGCACTTATCTTTTTCTTATCTGATCCACCTGCTTTCCAGGTTCTAAAACTATCATTTTCTTTGCTCTCATCTCTCACCAATCCCATTTCCTCGGTCCTTGTAAATTAATGCAGTAAACAAATTACTTCCGTTTTGACAGGGCGTGGAAGTAAGCGTGTTCAAGCTATGTGATTTACCTGGGAATTTCTGTCATAATGTTTAATACCTAATTATTACAAGTATATGGAAAGTGTTTTGATTTTGTGTATAATATTTTATAACCAATAACCTCATGAAATTCTCTAAAAATAATCATTTCCTAGGTAGATGATAATTTTTCTCTTTTATAAATTTCAAAAAATTTTTTCTTCATTCACTAGTGCATATAAAATTATTAAAAATTTTAGCTATTTTTTCTTGTCTCTATTGGTGAGTATTTTTAATTTATTTAAAAATAATTTTTGTTAATTTCTTTGATTTTTTTTCTCACTAAATGATAATTTGGTGATATAGTTTGGCTGTGTCCCAGCCAAAATCTCATCTTGAATTGTAATCCGCTTACTCTCTATAATCTCCACGTGTCAGGGGGTCAAGGGAGAGCCCAGGTGGAGGTAATTGAATCATGGGAGCAGCTTCCCCTGTGCTGTTCTTGGGATTAGTGAGTGAGTTCTCAAGAGATGTGATGGTTTTAAAAGTGTTTTGTAGTTCCTCCTGCAGCGTTGTGAAAAAGGTTCCTTGCTTTGACTTCTGCCGTGATTGTAAGTTTCCTGAGGTCTACCCAGCCATGCAGAACTGTGAGTCAGTTAAACCTCTTTCCCTTCAAAATAGTCCAGTCTCAGGCAGTTCTTTATAGCACTGTGAAAACAGACTAATATATTTAGTTTTTCCTTTCTAAATCTGACATATATATTTTGTCTTACTCCATTGGCTATCACGTTCAGAAAAATTAAACTGTCAGCGCTCTTTTAGGATTCCTTAACTTAATGATATAGCCATTAATTTTTTCCACATACATATAGTTTGATTGTTTTTACATATATATCCTATATTGTATTAATAAAATATTCTATCTTTCATTGAATCTTGCTTTTTCTAAAGTTATAAATGAATATTAACTTTTTTCTAATCCCATTTTGTGTTTATTTTATTCACGTGTTCTTATTCAGTAAAAACTTATTAGGTTGGTGCAAAAGTAATTGTGGCGGTGGCAAGAACTGCAACTACTTTGCACCAACAGAATACGTTCCTAATAGATTCCATTCTCCAGTAATATTTGTTTCTCTATTTCTTTTATAGTTAACCTTTCTAGATCACTTTGTTAAGGTAGGTGGTTATTGATATTTTTATTGTGTGGAATATTTTTTTTGTGTGTGTGTGTGTGTGTGTGTGTGTCAGAGTCTCGCTTTGTCGCCCAGGCTGGAGTGCAGCAGCGCGATCTGGGCTCACTGCAGGCTCCGCCCCCCAGGTTCACGCCATTCTCCTGCCTCAGCCTCTCGAGCAGCTGGGACTACAGGCGCCCGCCGCTACGCCCGGCTAATTTTTTGTATTTGTAGTAGAGACGGGGTTTCACCGTGTTAGCCAGGATGGTCTCGATCTCCTGACCTCGTGATCTGCCCGTCTCGGCCTCCCAAAGTGCTGGGATTACAGGCGTGAGCCACCGCGCCTGGCCTATTGTGTGGATTTTTAAGATATTAGTAGGGAGCTTAAATTTTGTTAGTAAATTCTTAGCTTACTACCTTGGGCTTTGCATTGCTTTTCAGAAATAAAAGTTTAAAATTACCTTAAAAAATATTGAGGGCCTGCAGACTTTGTTTATGTGGGTTGCATCTATCAATGTTTACCATACAGAAAATTAAAACTTAGTGTAACAATGTCTATTTTTAAGTAAAAACATATTGCATGTTAACATACACAATATATTTGTTAATATGTTTTCCAAAAAATTAACAAAAAGAGTGACTACGATTTTTACTTTTATGGAAAACACTTTAATATCTGGTTCATTGAAGACAGATGAATTCTTACAGGTACTTCCAGTTTCAATCCATTGAATCATGCTGCATTAGTTGCAGTCTATGAATGAGACAGTCAGGTGGGAGGGGGTGCCTGGAGAAACTCCACCCTTCACTGAGGTGGAGCCTTGGGAAGTTAACAACTTTTGCAGCAGGGAGGAGCCTGGCCCTTTCTCTTCCTGTGTGGAATCTGGGATTTAAGCTGCCAGTGGGAAGTGCTTTAGCGGAGGGACTCTGGCCTTTCAAGAATACTTGTGTCCCCCTTTTCTTCTTTTTCACCCAATAAAACCCAGCTTTACTCAAGCTATCCAGCCATCTGCAAGCCTAAAATTTTGTGGCCGTGGGATGGCCAAGGACCCTATCTTTAGCTGAAATAAGGGAAAGTCCTGCAACATTTTTGGTGCCCAACATGGGGCTGGAGAAGCTTTTAGTAAAATGAGAACTCAAAACCTCTCACGGTTGCTTCTAAGCCTTTTCATCCTCGGACTTCTGAAGATGGGGGAAACCATTCCCCCAGCCCCCATCGCTCCTGCGCCTTTTCATGGCCTTTTCTTTCCCTTTTCAAGACCAACTTGTGAGCAGCAGCTCCCCTTCACCCCGCACTCCCTGCTGGGCTTAGATTCCTGACCTAAGGCACCTGGGGCTGCTGGCTGGTGCTTTCCCCTGTGAACCGCTAGAGCCTTCTCCTTCCGTGGCCAAGAGATTCAGCTCCATCAGACAGTAATTAAACTTTTCTCCCTGGTGGAGGAATGACTTGCATAAGAATAAGAGGTTTTTCCCCAGGCATTTTTAAACTTTTTTTTTCTTTCCTCTTCTTCACCCTGTCAACAGTTAACCTTTAAAGTTTTTCCCCTTTACTAAGCCAGGCCCCCCACCTATCACCGTTTATATGTTCTGTAAAGCTTTAATTGTAAAAAAGGATTTGCGGGGCTGGTCTTGGGTTGCGGCCAATCTGGTGTGGTTTGCATGTCTGTATGGTTTCTAACAAACTTCTAAGCCTCCATCTTGTTTTGCATCCTGGGAGCATGGCTTGTAACTCCCGGTGAGGTGGCAAGACTTGGTTTAGCAATCCTCCTTTACGGAATAAGTTTCTTTCTGTTTGATATCTGCATGTTCTCTTAGCCCTGTCGCTTAAAGGGCCCCACCCAGTGAATGGGTTTTCTTCTGCCTGTCTGTGTGTGTACTGTGTGTGATGTCTGTAAAATGAGTTCTAATTAATTTGGCCTAAAGAAAAGTGCTTGGATCAAGTATTTTCTTTAAGGAAAGATAAAAGCTGCAGTACCTTTCAGTTCACCTGACTTTAATCTTTGAGAAATAAAATAGCCTTAAAGAGTATTGGTAAAATGCAGATGTCACTAAAATGTAAATAGTGGGCTTAATTATGCAGGTCAGAGCCCAGGTTTTCTAAATGTTTTAAGGTTACAAACTCCTTTTTGGATTTTGAGAACTCTGACTTGCTGGCTTCACAAATAGTAAGGCCTGAAGACATAGGAAACTAGCCACACTCTTAAGAAGGCAAATCTTGGCTGCAGTTAGCACACAATTAAAGCAACTTACCAAGTTTTACCTTAAAGTTAAAAATTGCTAGGAGTTAATTGAATCTATGAGAAACAGATTTGCATGCAAGGTGTATAAAAACAGTAAAATGTGTTTTTTAGTAAAAGGTTATAAGAAGGCATGGAAAATAAACTTTTACCTAGGGTTAAAGGATGGTTTTGAGTTAAATCAGGAAAAAGCTGAAGGTTCAAAGAAGTGGTGGAAGAATTGTGGGAATCTTGCAGAAGAGGTTCTCTGTGTGAACATATTGACTAAATTCAGAAAAGGGTATTATGTGGTTTTCTGGTAAATTGAGCGTTGAAATAAAAGCACAACAAGGTATTCTTAAAACTCTAATCTGCTCTTTGGCATAATTTATAAAGGGTTATAAAAGGTTTTTGCTTCTTTAAAATGTCTGAGTCGTCATTTTGGCAAAATAAATAATGTATGGTAATCTGGAATTATATATCATAATATCAAGTGATTCTCAAAATCAAACTTCAGTTTCAACATTGTCTTCCCTGGCATCTGGCTTTTCTAATACTTCAGAGGGCCCCTGAAGTGTTTAGAAAAGAGAGGTAAACAAGATTATTTGACATGTTTAGGTACATGGGATTGCCAAAATGATGTTTCAATCTGCTTTAGGTTATATCTTGATGAATAATGCTGATATATGTTCCAAAATTGTGTGGGATTTCTAAAGCTCTAATCTCTGAATATATGCTATCAATCATAATTAAGGTTTTCGTTATGTTGTTGTAAACCATGGAGATGACCCAGCTTCTTTGTCAATTGTGTTTCTAACTGTAATTACCCTGGACATGTTGCTCTTATTTTAATTCTTTTCAAAACATGGTATGTAATAAGCTGTAGAACTTTAACAGGTACTCTGAAATACAGACTTCTGATAACTTTGGAGATTGTAACTTTTTAATAAATGAAAATGTACAGGACTAAAAAAAAGCTCAAATGTTCACAAATGTCAAGCAAAATAAGTTTAAATGGACTGAACTCAGAAAGCTGAAGCAATCTCTTTAAACTTTGCTTGTAATATTGCTTATCCTTGTTTTTTAGCATCAAAGAAACTTATTTTCAACTATTTATGACCTTTAATAATTAAGCAAGTTATAATCCTGTAATCAAAATTTGGGGCATGTTTGTTTCTCTCTGCCTGGTTCCTCCAGAATTTAGAACCTATCTGTGAGTATTCTTAATTTTATGGTAATATAGGTCTTTGCATCAGTGCAATAAGTATCTGTTTTTCTTTTGCAACAGGACACAATTGGGGAAAATGGTTATTTTACCAAGGCTTTGACTGGAAGGGTATGCTTCCCTTTGGGGAGTCAATCTCAACTTGCAGAACCAATAAAAAGCCAATGGGGAAACTGGCCTCATACTCTCATCTACACAATCCCTGTACAGGGTTCCTGTCCTGTGGTCAGTAAATAATGTCACTTTCTGTCTTTCTTTTTTTTTTTTTTTTTCTGAGACAGAGTCTTACTCTGTTGCCCAGGCTGGAGTGCAGTGGTGCGATCTCCGCTCACTTTCTAACAGGTCTAGGAGCTCCAAGTTTATCTTGGGACCTTAAAAGGAGAGAATCACCCAACTCACAGGTGTTTGAGAATAGAAACCCATGGTTAGGCTCAGCTTTAAAGGGTCTTATCTGATATTCTTTATGGGACAAACTTCCATCAAAGCCAATCGAAAAGGCCTATGTAGAAATAGTTACTCTTGCTACATTTTATACCAATAACCAGGCCAAGTATAAGACTAAAGTCTGTTTTGCAAACAACTCAGTCTTATGATGATTTTTTTTTTAAACAAAAATCAGGACTTGAGAGAAAAACTGTTTCAAAACTTATACATTTGTCATTAATTTTTGTTTATTTATCTTTTTTGAGATGCAGTTTTACTCTTATTGCCCAGGCTGGAGTACAATGGTGCAATCTCGGCTCACTGCAACCTCCGCCTCCCAGGTTCAAGTGATTCTCCTGCCTCAGCCTCCCAAGTAGCTGGGATTACAGGCATGTTCAACCACGCCCAGCTGATTTTGTATTTTTAGTAAAGACAGGGTTTCTCCATGTTGGTGAGGCTGGTCTCGAACTCCCAACCTCAGGTGATCTGCCCACCTCAGCCTCCCAAAGTGCTGGGATTATAGGTGTGAGCCACCACGCCTGGCCGTCATTAAATTTTAAACTCACTAGTTAAGTTTTTGCCTACATTTTAGATGAACCCTGCTTGTTCCTGTGAGCCAACCAGCAGTCTCTGGCTGCAACTCAGAAAGAACAAGAGGGATGTGTAATGTAAAAATCTGGATTAATATTCTAGTTCTGAGCGATTATCCTGCACATCCTGCCAGGTGATGGTGTGTCCAGAATTGGTGGGTTCTTGGTCTCACTGACTTAAAAATGAAGCCGCAGACCCTCGCGGTGAGTGTTACAGTTCTTAAAGGCGGCGTGTCTGGAGTTTGTTCCTTCTGATGTCCAGATGTGTTTGGAGTTTCTTCCTTCTGGTGGGTTCGTGGTCTTGCTGGCTCAGGAGTGAAGCTGCAGACCTTCGCAGTGAGTGTTACAGCTCTTAAGGCGGCACGTCTGGAGTTGTTTGTTCCTCCCGGTGGGCTCGTGGTCTCGCTGGCTTCAGGAGTGAAGCTGCAGACCTTCGCAGTGAGTGTTACAGCTCATAAAGGCAGTGTGGACCCAAAGAGTGAGCAGTAGCAAGATCTATTGCAAAGAGCGAAAGAACAAAGCTTCCACAGTGTGGAAGGGGACCCGAGCTGGTTGCCACTGCTGGCTGGGGCAGCCTGCTTTTATTCTCTTATCTGGCCCCACCCACATCCTGCTGATTGGTAGAGCTGAGTGGTCTGTTTTGAGAGGGTGCTGATTGGTGCGTTTACAATCCCTGAGCTAGACGCAAAGGTTCTCCACGTCCCCACTAGATTAACTAGATACAGAGTGTCGACACAAAGGTTCTCCAAGGCCCCACCAGAGTAGCTAGATACAGAGTGTCGATTGGTGGATTCACAATCCCTGAGCTAGACACAGGGTGCTGATTGGTGTGTTTACAAACCTTGAGCTAGCTACAAAGTGCCAATTGGTGTATTTACAATCCCTGAGCTAGACATAAAAGGTTCTCCAAGGCCCCACCAGAGTAGCTAGATACAGAGTGTCGATTGGTGCACTCACAAACCCTGAGCTAGACCCAGGGTGCTGATTGGTGTGCTTACAAACCTTGAGCTGGATACAGAGTGCCGATTGGTGTATTTACAATCCCTGAGCTAGACATAAAGGTTCTCCACGTCCCCACCAGACTCAGGAGCCCAGCTGGCTTCACCCAGTGGATCCCGCACCGGGGCTGCAGGTGGAGCTGCCTGCCAGTCCCGGTGCTTTGTGCCCGTACTCCTCAGCCTTTGGGTGGTCGGTGGGACTGGGCGCTGTGGAGCAGGGGGTGGTGCTCATCGGGGAGGCTCAGGCCGCACAGGAGCCCATGGAGGGGGTGGGAGGCTCAGGCATGGCGGGCTGCAGGTCCCCAGCCCTGCCCCGCGGGGAAGGCAGCTAAGGCCCGGTGAGAAATCGAGCGCAGCGCAGGTGGTCTGGCACTGCTGGGGGACCCAGTACACCCTCCACAGCTGCTGGCCCAGGTGCTAAGCCCCTCATTGCCTGGGGCTGGCAGGGCCGGCCGGCTGCTCTGAGTGCGGGCCCGCCAAGCGCAGGCCCACCCCGAACTCCAGCTGGCCTGCAAGCCCTGCACGCAGCCCCGGTTCCCACTCGCGCCTCTCCCTCCACACCTCCCTGCGAGCTGAGGGAGCCGGCTCTGTCCTTGACCAGCCCAGAAAGAGGCTCCCACAGTGCAGTGGTGGGCTGAAGGGCTCCTCAAGTGCCGCCAAAGTGGGAGCCCAGGCAGAGGGGGTGCTGAGAGCGAGCGAGGGCTGTGAGGACTGCCAGCACGCTGTCACCTCTCAATGGGAATAAATTGGGTGCCTTTCTGGGAAAGTAGGTTTCCTTTTTGGGAAAGTAAAACGAAGGGAACTAACCAAAGACGAGTACCATGTAACCAAATCCTAGCAAGCATAACTATAGCCACCAGTTAGCTGGGTGTGTCACAAGACATCCTTTTCTCTCCCTTGTTAGAGGAGAATTCAGTTCCACGGTTTCATCTTAGTATTTGGCTTATGATAAGCCATCTGTGCAACCCCCCTGAGACATATCTTTGTCCAAAACTGAATTCCAAGCTTTGGATCAAAGCCCTAGGAAAAAAAACTAGATCTGAGGAATCCAGAGGCAAATGTCAACAGAAGTTAAAAGGCACAGGACAGGTGAGCGTGGCTGGTTCTTGCCTATTAAGCCAAGCCCAAGCTTCCTGTTTCATGGATAAAGGCCACGCTAGTATCCATGGTATAAATGGGGTCTAGGAAACTCCAAGGCTACTGACAGTAGGTGGAAGGAGATTTAGGTGAGAGCTGGTAATGCCTAGTCTCTAGGCCCCCATGTTTGATGGGTACAAGCTGCTTTGGCACTCACGGTGGTACCTGCCAAGGTCACTGGGACTCGGGGATGCAAGGACAGAAGAAGGGAAAGAGGATGCTCTTTCCCCTCTCTGTCATGTACCCCCCAGGTATCTGCTAGGAAGAGAAGGGAACCAGGGATGTCTGCTCCTCTCTTTCTGTATGAGTAGCCATTCATCTTCACTCTGTACTCCTTTAGAATGCATCCAGGACCCCTGGGACTCCTTTGAAAAAACACCTTGTTTTTTTCCTTTCTTCTCCTCTGTCCTCTCTTCACTGATGGCAATTATGTGTCTGTACTAACAGGACACTCTCCTCAGATGCATTCTCCAAACTAGACGGAGTTAATTTCCCAAACCTTAAACTGGCTGGCTTAGGATTGGGCTCAGGGGAAGGGACTCCCAGAAGTCCAACATGCTAGCAAAAGGGTAAAGTTTTTTCATCCAGGTGGGATTTTGCCCTCCCTTCTCCCTGTGCAAACTGGTAAAAGACCTCAGAATTTTTGAGCTGTCCTTACCCCTGCCTTTGTTGCATTTTGATACATGTTTTCTAGTGACCTGGTTTGACTGTTCTTTACTTCAGGCCATCAAACTCCAAATGGTCATGCAACCAGAGCCTCTGACGATGGCCTCTTCTGCTGGGCCTCTGAGGGAGCTCTGACTGCCATTTCCCCAAAACAGTGCCCCCTGTCAGCAGGAAGCAGTTAATATGGTCTTCATCCTTATCCTTAATCTAAAGGCAGTTAGATATACTTCTTCACAGTGGGCATTGAGAGAGCCAGGTGGGAGGGGATCCCTGGAGAAACTCCAACCAGCCTGCCCACTGAGGTGGAGCCTCGGGAAGTTTACAGCATTTACAGTGGGGAGGAGCCTGGCCCTTTCTCTTCCTGTGTGGAATCTTGGATTGAAACTGCAGGCGGAAAATGCTCTAGCAGAGACACTCTGGCCTTGTGAGAGTCCCTGTTTCCATGTTTTCTTCTTTTTCACCCAACAGAACCCTGCTTTACTCACCCCCTCCAATTGTCTGTGAGCCTAAATTTTCATGGCTGTGGGATGGACAAGGACCCTGTCTTTAGCTGACCTAAGGGAAAGTCCTGCAACATGAAAAAAAAAATCCAGACACACAGATACATAGTTAAAAAATAAATACATATTTTGATAGCCTTTTTTAGAACATGATGGATGTTACACTTTTATACTACACCAAAATTCAACAACTTTCTCAGTAGTGCTTTCTTAAAAATTAGGTAAGATGTGGAATCTGATATCTGAAATTCTTGTACTATGTCTTAGGAAACTGTCAAATTCATTATGACAAAGATAATTTTTCCAAATTACAGCTTTTTCTCAGAAGCTGGAATTTTATCCTTAGTCATTGTCAGTTTTTGTGTGTGGGAAATGACAGGTTTACTTCATTTGTTCTCAAGAACATTTTAGCTGATTACCCAAATCTGAATAATTGTTTGACTCTCAGTCATTATTTCAAATAAAAATGATATTGCATGAAAAAAGCAGCTAGTTCATTTCACAACTCAAAACAATCATACAAGTTCTTTATTGGGGAATAATATTGTACTCTGGCTTGCAGCAGATGTGCTTCCTGTACACTATCCATTTTTCCCGCAGAATGTTAAAAGTTAAGTGCTAAAGAGGCAGTAGTTGACGTGATACATTTTTCTTGCTTTATCAGTGTATGCAACTTATAAGTAGCTTTTGTTTGGTTAGCTAGCAGTTTATTGATTTATTGCTTATTGATACTATTTTTACTGTTAAGTGTGTAGAGGTAAGGAGTGCAGTGATCATATAGTTTGATGCTACTGCCTAAGGCACCAATCATTTTTCCACCATTGCTTTTGTACAATTAGTGTAAATACTAGTACAGTGAGAAAGACAAATAATGTGTTAGTGTTATTATGAAAATTGTTGTGACAAAACAGTTCCCTGAAAGTTTCTCTGAAATGCCTAGAAGTCTGGAGAACGTACTTCGAAAACCACATGTCTAGTGGAACCATATTAAGTTATCTTTGAAAAAAAAAAAAGCATATTGAAGAAATAGTCACTTTGACTAAATGCTAGGAAGTTTACGCTACTACCAGAAAGGAGATAGTGTAGTAGATGATGTATTTATCGTGTGAAAACGTAGTTCTGATTTCCAGCCATGTAACAGTATCTCTAGGTATATAGGTCAGTAACCCTGTTTTTGCTTTTCCTTCATCACTAAAATCTTTTGTGTGAGTGTAAGAATAAAATGAAAGTACACACAAATGCATGCATACACACACAATGCCTGGAATAAATAACAATTTATACTATTTTTTTGTTGCAAACAAGGCATACGATGACTAGTATAATACAACTTTTGATCCTTTTACCCCACATTTAGTAAGATTAATTATAAATGAATGTAGTAGCTTGCAGTAAAAGAGCCAATTTTAACATATGGGCCTTGACAGGTGATTCATTCTAAAGACAATAGCACTGGAAAATTAGTGCAGATAACATTATATCATTCAACTGTTAGGAAAAAATACTATCGTATTTCATCGTTGACTATCCTTTTTGGGCATCACCATTTCAATCACTGACTTTCATGTGTGAGTCACTGTGACCTAAGTCAGAGTAAAATGTCACAGGAGTTGGGAGAGAGAGCTAATTAGCAAGTCTGTGACACCACAAAAGAGTAATGAAAGAAATGGGCACTTGTTTCTTATTTTAGGAAAGTATTCTTCACATATAAAAATGACTCAACTGTTGCAAAAATTCAAGAAAAATTGAATTTTTATCTTTGTCCTACATAAGAACCTAAAGTGTGAAAATGAGAATAGTACAGATATATCAAGATCAGGCTTCCATTCTGTTTAGAACTATTTCAGTTGCTATTAGAATTGAAAGAAGAATGTAGAAGACAAAGAATATTTGAAGCTGTCGTGAAAAGGCCATTAACTTTGGAGTCAGATAGGCTGGATTTACGTTTCAGCCCTGTTAATCTAAGTATAACTGTAGACAGTTCCTTCACTTCCTTGAAACCTGATTTCCTCAATTGTAAAAGGATTATAATTACCACATGGCAATTCTGAAGAATTAATGAAATAAATTACTTAAAGTGCATAATATGCCTACACAAAATGAATGTTCACTAAATAGTAACTTATTTTCTGCTTATTGTATAATTAAGTTGATGGGAAATTCAGTTTTGTCATTATAAGTTGTGTAATTATTAAGTTGATAGAAAGTTTATCCTTTTTTAATGTATAACCCAGCCTGTCCCTGTTTATTCTCTCACAAAGTTGATTATGGAATATGAGGTTTTCAACACTACTTAAAAGGGGTAGTTGATTAGGTCAATTCAACCAACATATATCTCATTTAAGGAGCTCAAAAATTCAATAGTAAAAGCAGTTGTTTTCTTCTCTACAGATGGATGGAAATACAGAACTGAGTTCTTTTTAAGATAGTTCTTAGTATTTAAGAAAACTTAGCAAGGTAATGATCATGATTTTGAATATAGTAAATGGTGTCAACCAAAGCAGCAAGAAAACACCACCAGATTTTCTATTGCAACCTATTTGACCCCACCAGTTTCACTTCCAATTATTGTTCCTACTCTGCTCTTCATTTTCATATATTCCATAGTTTTATTACTATTTTTATGCTACATATAATTTACTAATATATATGTTTATTGATGAAACTATTCTTGCTAGAATGTAACTTCTTTAAGAAAGAGATCTTAGGGATTTTGTTTCTTGATACACTGTGAGAGGAGCATCTGACTCATGATGAGTTCTCAGTAAATGATTTGTGAGTGAAGGTTTTGAATGAAATGGATAGTAAAAACAGTATGGAATAAGATTATTGCTTCATGCCTATTCTCTTTTAAGAACGTTATTTACTATTATAAAAATAACTTTATATTTTTACAAAAATAATAAAAGCTACACTGTATTGCACATTAAACTAAGCACAATTTACAGAACACAAAATCTGTACTAGGCACTATGCTTAAGACGTATCAGGTTTTCTTATATAGAGGCTACATGAGGGTATTAGAGTAAATCTGTAATATAAATACTTGTAAAGGCTCATTCTTTCTATTTTATTTAGAATAGCAGAAATAGAATTTATTCCTACTCCTCAGTGGAATAAAATTGGGGAATGTGTGCCACACTTTGGAGAGACCACTTATATAGGAGACTAAACTTTCCACACCTACATTATATGTGGAAAAAATACTTGTATAGCCTAGAATCACTTTTGTATAGATCAGGCAACTATCGTCACTCTACTTTTGGAAGAGAATCTAAAAAGTAATGTTGAAACTAAATTAATCTGAAAATTTTACATTACGGTAGGTATCATTCAAGTTGTAATTAGGGCTCAATATAATGTTGTCTACTAGATTTGATCTCTATCCCACCTCAAGGTGACGATATATACATCAAGATGCAGTACCTGTCCTAGCGAAGTTCTCATCACCTAGTGCCTGTCCTGTTCTATAATATTCTGAAAAGATTTTGGCTTCATATTATGTATTAATTCTGCAAATACATACTGAATGTCTATTCAATGGTCTGTTTGGAAATCAAAGTGTTACCGAACAACCAAGGGTTTGTTCTAGGTCCTGCTGCTCACTGCAGAGAAAGCCAACGGCTGAGAAGGCAAGTATTGCCAAGGAAGAAGGCTTTAATCAGGTGCTGCAGCTGAGCAAATGGGAGCTCAGTCTCAGATCCTTCTCCCCACCAACTAATATTAGGTGTTAATATAGTAGGGAAGAAATGTAACAATGTGTAGGAAAACAGGAACTCTGGAGGCCTAAGGAAGCAATCATGATGAATGATGGGCCTGGTGTCTCATCTGGATGAGATGATCTGGTGAGTTTCAGTTCTTTGATACTTTTTGAGAGACTTGGGGGTCCTTTCCTGAGGAAGAAACTCAGATAAAATAAATATAAATTTCAAGCCTTAAGACCAGAAGGGTCGGTTTCTATGTCTACACACACACACAAAAATCTGTCTATGGGACTATTGGGTCAGTTTCTTTTTATTTATTTATTTATTTATTTATTTTATTATTTATTTATTTTTTTTAGTATTTATTGATCATTCTTGGGTGTTTCTCGGAGAGGGGGATTTGGCAGGGTCATAGGACAATAATGGAGGGAAGGTCAGCAGATAAACATGTGAACAAAGGTCTCTGGTTTTCCTAGGCAGAGGGCCCTGCCGCCTTCTGCAGTGTTTGTGTCCCTGGGTACTTGAGATTAGGGAGTGGTGATGACTCTTAAAGAGCATGCTGCCTTCAAGCATCTGTTTAACAAAGCACATCTTGCACTGCCCTTAATCCATTTAACCCTGAGTGGACACAGCACATGTTTCAGAGAGCACGGGGTTGGGGGTAAGGTTATAGATTAACAACATCCCAAGGCAGAAGAATTTTTCTTAGTACAGAACAAAATGGAGTCTCCTACGTCTACTTCCCTCTACACAGACACAGCAACAATCTGATTTCTCTGTCTTTTCCCCACATTTCCCCTTTTTCTAGTCAACAAAACCGCCATCGTCATCATGGCCCGTTCTAAATGAGCTGTTGGGTACACCTCCCGGACGGGGCGGCTGCCGGGCGGAGGGGCTCCTCACTTCACAGACGGGGTGGCCGGGCAGAGGCGCTCCTCACATCCCAGATGGGGCAGTGGGGCAGAGGCGCTCCCCACATCTCAGACGATGGGCGGCCGGGCAGAGACGCTCCTCACTTCCTAGACGGGATGCGGCCGGGAAGAGGCGCTCCTCACTTCCCAGACTGGGCAGCCAGGCAGAGACGCTCCTCACTTCCCAGACGGGGTGGCGGCCGGGCAGAGGCTGCAATCTCGGCACTTTGGGAGGCCAAGGCAGGCGGCTGGGAGGTGGAGGTTGTAGCGAGCCGAGATCACGCCACTGCACTCCAGCCTGGGCAACATTGAGCACTGAGTGAGTGAGACTCCGTTTGCAATCCCGGCACCTCAGGAGGCTGAGGCTGGCAGATCACTCCCAGTTAGGAGCTGGAGACCAGCCCGGCCAACACAGCGAAACCCTGTCTCCACCAAAAAAATACGAAAACCAGTCAGGCGTGGCGGCGCGCGCCTGCAATCCCAGGCACTCGGCAGGCTGAGGCAGGAGAATCAGGCAGGGAGGTTGCAGTGAGCCAAGATGGTGGCAGCACAGTCCAGCCTCGGCTCGGCATCAGAGGGAGACCGTGGAGGGAGAGGGAGAGGGCAAGGGAGACCATGGGGAAGAGGGAGGGGAAGGGGGAGGGGGAGGGAGAGGGAGAGGGAGAGCTTGGGTCAGTTTCAAAGGGAAAAATAATATTCTTAACTTCTGGGAGCTTGAATTCTACTGGACAAACAACCGTAAAACATCAGCAATGATGTAAGATAATTGCTGTGATAGAAGATGATGTACAAGCACAGACACTTCAAACAGGGGAAGTAAGCAATATTTTAGGAAGAGATCCATTCAGAGCAGAGATTCAAGTGACAAAGTGTTTTCAGATTTCCAGAAATTCTAGTGAGGGGAAAGCATTTCAAATGGAGGAGGCAGTGTGTAACCAGGTATACAAATACATACAAATAGACAACCGCAAAGTATATATGTAGTTTTGTCATGTGTGACAAAGTGGAGGATGAACTGGGGTAGTGAAGTAGGGGTCAGACTATGAAGGGAAAACAGATTGAAAGTGTCTCAACAGATTCCACTGGCTTCTCTGATATTGCCTAAGTACAAGAAAACCTGACAAGACTCTATAATCAAAGTCACTGAGCTGTTAGAAGTGTTTTTTTTTCACATGTTCTGTTAAGAGTTCAGTCATTTTAAGCCAAGTTTAGATTGAATTAATTTATTTTGGGAAATGAAGCTCTGCTAATTAGGTTTAGCCCTCAGGCCTATGGCAAGTTGTCAATATGGATTTTGGTGTAGAAAGCAAGGGCCTCCTTATTCTACTAACCTATGGGAAATCATGCCTTAACTGCTGAATTGCAGAAAAGTTACCCAAAGCCTCTACCAGCCTTTGGTGGACAATTAGCAAGAAGGGAACTGTGATAAAACAAGCAGATTTTATAACATGCTAACAATTTACAATTCCAGGTGTTTTTCTATAAGCAAGAATCTCAGAATATGTTTAAGCCATAGAGAAAACATTTTAGCAAAATTGTCAATGTACTCAGAGTTTTAAAACATGGTTTTTAAATTTTAAAAATATTGTATAACAAATGTGTGAATTCACTGTAAAAATTATTTTAACATATGTGTGGGACGTTCTACTAAAATATGGATAGGTATTAACTACGTACTTTGCATCCTTAAAAACGGTTTATAACATTCTGAAATAAAAGCTGTGTCCATGTAACTCAAATGCAGATGTCAGGAACTATCTTCCCTCTTTGTCCTCTTTCAACCAGGTGTTTTTAATTAAGCTGTACACTTCAATCAAGTCATTCTTGGATATTGGCCAGTTGTCTTTCCAAGAAGAAACTGATGTATGAAACTCTGTGGCCTTAGTTATACATATTCCATTGTCTTTGAGGCCTAAAACGTATTCCCACAATTCTTGAAGATGACTTGGTCCTAGAGTGTTTACACACAGTTTTACCACTATATTAGGTCCTTCCTGGTTTGTGTATTTCTAGGTTTTGACCCATTGATATGGTTTGGCTCTGTGTCCCCACCCAAATTTCATGTTGAATTGTAATCTTCAGTGTTAGAGCAGGGACCTGCTGGGAGGTGATTAAATCATGGGGATGAATTTGTTTATATTTCATCCTGAATTTCTCATACTGTCCTAGCCATGTGGTATTTATAACTTACTTTATTTATTTATTTGTTTATTTATTTTGAGACGGAGTCTCACTCTTCCACCCAGGGGGGAGTGCAGTGGCGTGATCTCGGCTCACTGCAAGCTCTCCCGGGTTCGTGCCATTCTCCTGCCTCAGCCTCCGGAGTAGCTGGGACTACAGGCTGGGACTACAGGTGCCCGCCACCGGGCCCAGCTAATTTTTTGTATTTTTAGTAGAGATGGGGTGTCACCCTGTTAGCCAGGATGGTCTCCATCCCCTGACCTCGTGATCCGCCCGCCTCGGCCTCCCAAAGTGCTGGGATTACAGGCATGAGCTTTTTTTTTCTTTTTTTTAATAACTGTGGGGTGCTTCCTGACTTCAGAGAATTTCCAGGTGACCTTAGCCAGCTGTCCCTATGCTAGGTTAGCATACCAGGCTTTCTTAGGTTTGTCTATTTGGTTTTCCACCTAAGGGTAGTATTGAAGAGCAGTAAGTCCAGATTTATATATAAATCAGATTTGATATAAATCAACTTAAGCAAAGGTCATTAAATAAATCACCTGGAACACTTAAGAAAATTGTTCAATAGTTTGTGGGTCAAGCTGTGAGGAAGGCTCCACTGGCCATTATTTTGTCTTATTCATGTAGAGACAGCTGGAGCTGGATAATTTTCTTCTAATGGCTTACTTGGCCCTTTAGCCTTTTTTTTTTCTCTTGGCATAGCATCTCATTCTTCAGGGCCTTTCCAGATGGCTTGGCTTTACACAGCATGGAGGTCTCAGGTGTCTAACTTTAAATATGACAGGAATGTTCCATGTCGCCTATGCAGAGGCTGCAAGGTTTCTGTAAACTAACCTTGAAAATGGCAATTGAACATGCATTTGTTGGTTTCTAAGGCCAGCCCAGATTCGAGGGAACAAAGATACATTGTTGATATCTAGATGGAGAAATGACATAGACATGCTAACAATAAAAAATAAATGATGTCTGATGAGCAGTCTAAAGATGAGAAAATAAGTTGGTGGAAAAAAAGCTGTGTAAACTACTTTGTTGGGGACCTTGACTATTAAAGAACAAAATATGAAACAATAATAACTAAAAGATGTTGTTGGCTTGAGGGAGGCTTTTCGTTTGTTATCCTCTCGTTGATTGTTTACATAGAAGATTCTGGGAAGTCTCAAGGCATAAGAAGTATAAAACTTGATAGCTAGTATAGTATGAAGAAATGAAAGAACAAATAAAACATGGAATAATAGAAGAATTAATGTTTTTGAGTATAAAATAGTTCATGTAAATAACAGATGTTTTCAAATTCAAAAGACCCAGGATAGCCAATGCAATATTAGAAGGACAAAGTTAGAGGATTGACACTGACTTTAAAGCTTACTGTAAAGCTCTAGTAATCAAAACAGTGTGGTATTGGTGAAAGAATAGACAAATAGATTAATAGAACAGGACAGACAGCCCAATAGATAAATATAAATGTTGTCAACTAATATTTCACAATGGAGCAAAGGCAATTCAATGAAGAAAGGGTAGTCTTTTCAATAAATGTTGGAACCACTGGACATTCACATGGAAAAAAATAAATATAGACCAGGACCTTACAGCTTTTATGAAAACTACTTCAAAATGGATAATAGACCCAAATGAAAAATGCAAAACTATATGTTTTATCCAAAAAAAAAAAAAAACACACAGAAGAAACACTGGATGATCTTGTGTTTAGTGATGACTTTTTAAAAATAACACCAAAGCACAAAGCATACAAAATTGGTAAATTGGATTTATAAATTAAACAATATTAAAAACTTTTCTGGGAAAGACACTGTTAATATAATGAACAGATAAACCACAGAGTAAGAAAAATCTTTGCAAAACCCATTGAATTTACAATACAAAAAGTAAATCCCAGTGTAAACTACAAACTTTAGTCAATAATAATGTATGTTAACAGCTTATAAATTCTAAAAATGTGTAAACTAATGCAAGATGTTAATAATAAGGAAAGTACTTTGGAGTCAGTAAGGAATTATATGGCTGCTTTATGGTTTCTGCTCAATTTTTCTGCAAACTTACAAGTACTACTAGAAGTAAAGATTATTATTTATATTGAAATCTCTAGCAAACTTATTTGCCCAACTGATTGGAAATTATAGTTTACTTCTGAATAACCCATTGATGAAATAAGAAATCAACCTGGCATTTTGAAAATGTTTGAACCAGAATAAAATAAAAGTTGACATGTTAACACTTTATCAATGAGGCCAAAACAGTGCTTAGAGAGAAATATATATCTATGACTTTATATAGTAAAAAGGAAAAGTACAAATAAATTATCTAAACTTTCATATGAAGAATCTTAAATTTAAAACTAAAGAAAGTGATAATAAAAATGATAAACAGAATAAAGAAATAGCAAAATAGAATTCACACCCACATTTAAAAAATCAAATTACTTTTTAAAATGTTTATTGTTTTAGAATTTAAAAAATGTAATTTATCAAGATTTATCAATATACAAAACAAGAGTCTTATAATTGACACAGAGAAACACAGTACAGAGAGTTAAGAGGTTGATGAAATACAGATACACAGACCAGCAGAATCTAAGCTTTTTGTTTTTTTTTTTTCCCCGAGACAGAGTCTCACTCTGTTGCCCAGGCTGGAGTGCATTTGCACGACCTTGGCTCACTGCAACCTCCGCCTCCTGGGTTCGAGTGATTCTCGTGTTTCAGCCTCCTGAGTAGATGGAATTACAGGTACCCTCCACCACACCTGGCTAATTTTTGTATTTTTAGTACAGATGGGGTTTTGCCATGTTGGCCAGGCTGGTCTTGAGCTCCTGACCTGCCTCAGCCTCTCAAAGTGCTGTGATTACAGGTTCGAGCCGCTGTACCCAGCCCTATGTTATTTTTATACACAGGCGTGGAGGACTCCAGTGGATAGCAGCAGGGCAGCACTTCTGAGAAAATCACCTGAATCAACTTGTGTTTATCTTTGTATGTCATAGGCAACAAATTCAATTACAGTGATTTAATCAAAAGTGGGTTAACGTTTAAAACTAATAATAAAATAAAATAAATAAACCTTAGCAGCTGTCTTTGCCTGGCATTATTATCCTTAGAGAGAACTATCTAACAACAAAGAAAGTTGTATTGGGATATGGCTATTAGATGTAATTCTACTTTTTATATGCTGAAACACCTGCTTGAAAAGAAGCAGTTTCTGATTTGAGTTTTTTTTTTTTCCACCAAAGATATAAACAACAGCTTGTTAATTCCCTTCTGTAGAAACCAGAAACGTGCCTAAGAAGCCTGTTCCCGTCATTTTGTCCTGTTAAAATTTTAATGAAATAAAATCTTTGCCACTATAGTTTTGCTGTAGCTAGAGGTTATTTTCTAAAAATGCATTTAAAGAAAAATTAAGCAGGATGAGAACTGAACATTTTAAAATGCCTATTAAATTTGGAAAGGAAACAAAATGCATTGAGGTTGTTGAAATAGGTGTTTCTTTCTTTGAGAGGACTAGGTTAGTACATCCCATTTTACTCTGAGCATGTGGAGGCTCTGTTCTATGATTGTTTCTGGGGGACATGCTCACCTTGATTTGAATTTTTCTTACTGTGCCATTTTGTGGTCTGACAGCTTGTTACCACAGGTATGGAATTCTTCACTAGTTCTAGGCTCTCCTCTAGGCTCATACCCTGGTATGGACTGGTAAGCCACACAAACCTTCTGCTATAGTTTGGCCCATTTCTATGCTAAACATCTCAAAGTGTTAAAATATCTCTTCTGTCTGATCCAGTTCTAAAATCCCTGTCTGAGCCCATTACAGCTTTGTGAAGACAAAGGAGCCTGGGAGACTTCTTAGGGTCCACTGATTTAAGGTACATACAATGAACTTAGTGAATAAAAACTTCAGTGAAGAGATAAAATCTAGGTAGTAATAAAAACTCATTTTGTGGCAGTTCTAAATCCAAGTCACAGAAATTACTGTAATTTCATTAAAAATTCTAATTATTATGGCTCACTATATCAAATAAATCTCACAATCAGAAGAAATGTGTCTGTAAGTGATAAATTACAAGTGGGAGATGATTTTTTAAATCAACTCTCTGAAAATGCTATTAGTGAAAAGAGAAGTTGAGACTTTTCTTTCTTTCCCTGCTAAGATTTTACTTTGATGACAGTTTGTAAAGTTGCATGGGAGGTTAAGTCACAAACTGAATTTAACTACCAAAGACTCCTGTTCTTTAAAATACCCACAACTGCACCTTTATTCACTCTTTGAAGAGAAATACCCTTGAAAATGATGGAAAACATGTAGGTACTTAAAACAATAGCAGAAACAAAGACTGTAAATACAGACAAATAAAAATCAGTGGACTCATGAGCTTTTATCGTCCTGAAAAATTATTTGCTTTGACTGTGTTTTAGCTCTTTTACCAAACATGAATTTGTTTTTAAAACTAATTTGCAGGTGTATTCCTTAATATTTGTGTTTGCATGCTTGTATGTATGTGTGTGTATGTTTGCGTGTCACTTATTGGAGGAAGTTTCTGCTGACAGTCTCAAATCTTTTTGCTAAAGTAAAGGAAGAATTTTTATAGCAAATTAATAACTTGATAATTTCAGGTCTTGCTTGATTTGAGTGAAGCAATATGAACAGTTAATGTCGTGGAATCACATCTACGTGTCTATGTTCATTTGGTTTCTAGAATACTATGACAAACTGTAGCTGCTTCATAGACAAGACACTTTCTGTCTCACACACTGCACAACCAAGCCTCCGTTTTTCTAACAGCAAAGTTTTGCTTCATGTTGCTCTATTTTTATTGTATCCACAATGAAAAGTCTTCTCGACCTTTAAAACAGGCTTCACTGAAGACAAATATCTAAGTCAGAAGGAGCTGAATCATGCTTTGTTTTACATCTGTGAGGAAACACTATAATATTTAAAAAAAATGGTACCAAAGGACAAAGGAACTTGGATACTCACGTGCCAAGAAATGTTATGCTGTTGAAAACTTTAAAAATCGTTCTTATGCCTCCTGAAAATGGTTATTCCTTTGGTGACTATGCTATAAAATATCATGGGTAGTGCCCCAGTTTTAGTTTGCTATGTGCATTTAATAGTTGGTTAGTCCATCATGCAAAGACATTTAAAGTGGGATTGAAGTAGCCACCTAAGACAGGCTACTAAAATTAGCTGAAATTATTGATGGCATCTGACCATTGTGGTTCCCAATTCTCATCAGAACATATGTTTTTACACTGTAGGTTTCAGGTTAATTATACAAATTCATTACCAATTCTGCAATAGTATTAGAGAAAGTTTACTTGAAAAATGACCAGTGGCACCATGCAGTGGTATAAATAAATAAAGAGAAAGCATAAAATGTTAAACAGACTATCATTATTACACAGCACAGAGGAAGAGAAGTCTTTACAGACAAATAGACTGAGAATTACAAAATGAAGGATATCTAATTGGGCCTAACCGGATCAGAAGATACATCAGTGAGGAGAAAATAGTCCAAAGTACTAGACATACAAAATTTAATGTTTTCTTATCTCATGAGTTAGGAAGATTTAGACTCTATTTTAGTAATGTTTAATTCAAAAAAACAGCACAAACTCCCTCAGATGATGCTACATCTAAAGAGATTATTATACAAGAGCAAACTGCAAAGAACCAGTTAATTTTCGTAATGTCAAAGTTCTGAATCAAGTCTTTTCTGAAAGTTTAATTGATTAGCTGGAAAAATTGACATTAAACCAATTAAACAGAGAGACTGAGAATACAAAGATGATAAGTGTTTCACCTCCTTAACAAATAGTTTATAGTGGATAAGGCAGTGAAAATCTTAATCTAGAAACATTGAATTGATTATAAAGGGTAGGTATTTGTGCATTAATGCTTTCCCAGTGTCTGCTGAGAAAGCATAGAGTATATAGTGCTTAGCAGTTTCCTTTCTGGAAGCACTCTGTGGATTTATTTCTCCTCCGACTTATTACAAGGTATGAAATCATAAGTAAATTATTTAACCATTTCATAGCGCCCATAGTTTTCTCACATGTAATATTTATATAGTAGTACCTATCTTTTTGGTTTATAGTCAAAATAGATGAAGCAGTAAATCTATAATACTTAGAATAGTAACTGTTCTATCATAATAACATAATAAATGTTAGCTATTACTGTGGTTTTCTAAAAAGACTCTGCACCACCTGTCACCCATCCTACTTCATAAACACCCACTTCATAAACATATTCTATTCTCTACACCATAGTTGCTAGCTAATATATATTAAGTAAAATCTTGCTGCCATTTATTTTGTGCCTTGAGTATGTCAGGTGTTTTATACACTAAGTTTTATGATTTCAATAACGCTGCAACATAGATATGTGTATGCCCATTTTAAAGATTAAGAAAAAACGAGGCACTAAAAACAATTACTTTCTTCTAGATCACACAGCTATTAAATAGCATTGTCTCTGACTGAATTAGGACTTACAAATAGGAAGTCTGAGTCCATGTATTACAATTACAACCAGCTATATGGCTTTATACAAATCATTCACATTTGTGAACCTCAGATTAATCATATAAAACAAGACTATATTTCAAGATAAAAACATTCAAAAATTAGGTATAGAAGGAATGTATCTCCCTACAAAAAAGCCCATATACAACAAACCCACAGTTAACACCATACTTAGAGAAAAAGATTTCAACTTTTCCCTAAGATCTAAAAGAAGAAAAGTATGCCCACTCTCGCCACTTTTCAAAATAGTACTGGAAATCCAAGCCAGAGCAATTAGGCACGAGGAAAAAAAAAAGCATCCAAATTGGAAAGGAAAACGTTAAGTTGCCCGTTTGCAGGAGATACTATCTTATACATAGAAATCTCTAAAAACTCTAAAAAACTATTGAAAGTAACAAACTCACTAAAAGTTCAGGATACAAAATGAACATACAAAAATCAGTATTTCTGTACACTAAAAACAATCTAAAACTTAAAAAAATTCTATTTCCAAAGGTATCAGAAAAAAAATACTTAAGAGTAAATTTAACAAACAAACCTACACATTTATGGTCAATTGATTTTTGACAGAAGTATTGAGAACACACCATGAGAAAAGGACAGTCTCTTCAGTAAATGGTGCTGGGACAACTGGATATTCACATGCAGGAGAATGAAAGAAGAGAGCATAGAAGAAAAACTCTGTAACATTTGTCTGGGCGATATTTTTTTGAATATGAACCTAAAAGCACAGGCAACAAAAGTAAAAATGGGCAAATGTACTAAATTTAACTAAAAAGCTTCTGCACAGCCAAGAAAACAGTCAACAGTGAAGAGATGACCTAACAGACTGTGATAAAATATCTGAAACCATATATCTGATAAGCAGGTAATATTAATGAAATAAAGAACTCAATAACAAGAAAATGAGTTACTTGATTATAAGGGCAAAGACATGAGTAAACATTCCTCAGAAGACATGTATGGCCAACAGATACATAAATGCTCAAAATCGCTAATTATCAGATAAATGCAAATTAAAACCATGATAAAATACCTTTTCACACCTGTTATATTTGCTGTTATCAAAAAGATGAAAGATAAGTGTTGGGTAGGATGTGTAGAAAAAGGGAACTATAGGATATTTTTGGTAAGAATGTAACAGTACTAGCATTATGGAAAATGATGTGGTGGCTCCTAAAAAAGAAACTGTAAATAGAACTACAATATAATCCAGTGATCCCACTTCTGGATACATATCCAAAGGAATTGAAATCAGTATGTCAAGGGGATATCTACATTCCCATGCTCATTGTGGCATTATTCACAATAGCCAAGATATGAGATCAACCTAAGTGTCAATGGATGAGTGGATGAAGAAAATGTGGTGTATATACAAGGAAATACTATTCAGCCTTTAAAAAGAAGAAAATCTTGTCATTTGTGACATCACACATGATCCTTCAGGACATTATCCTAAGTGAAATAAGCCAGTCATAGAAAGATAAATACTGCGTGATCTTATATGTGGAATCATAAAAAGTTGAACTAATCGAAGTGGAGAATAGAATGGTGGTTACCAGGGGCTGGGAAGTGGGAGCATGGGAACATGTTGCCCAAAACATACAAAAACTCAGTTAGACAGGAGGAATAAATTTAAAAGACCTATTGTATAACATGGTGACTATAGTTAATAACAATGTATTACATTCTTGAAAATTACTATAAGAGTACATTTCATGTGTTGTCACAATAAAAAGTGATACATATGTGAGGCAATGCATATATTAGCTTGATTTAGCCATTCAATGTAAACATATTTCAGAACAACATATTGTACTCGATAAATATATACAATTAAAAATAGGATTATTGTCAGAAAATGTATTTCAAATATGAGATAATTATAACTTGTACACTGCCTACATGAAATTTATTATAATGTTATATTGCATTATATAGTGTGTTACAATTGAATAACAATTGCATTGCCTTGTACTTCTAACATGATTCAGAAAATGAGCATGTCTTCTTAGCTCACATATTCTAGCTTAAATATTGTATCAAGTCAAATAGCAATATAAGATTGACTTTATTCACTTACCCTCCATTCAAAGTAGACACACATTTGTTGCTGTTATTTGGGGGAAAATCCATGTTTAGTAAGTGTTTATTTAACGCTTACATAGTGTTTAACATATTCCAGGCTTTGTTGTAATCATTTCACCAATATTAACTCATTTAATCCTTGTAACAATCCTGTGAGATACTGTTATTTTCCACATTTCATATAGGGAGAAAAGAGGCATAAATGGGTCAAGTAATTTGCTCAAGTTCCAATGACAAGAGAGTGGCAGAGCCAGGATTCAGATCCAGAAAGTCTTACTCCAGACTAAAAGAGTTGTCACTGTGACAACTCTGCTAGCAAAGCTCTGAGATAATGCTTTTCCAGTGGAAATAATGACATTTTTTTCAGATTTACAGCACAATTTACCTGCATACTTTCTATTGTGCCCTATCTAAGTTTTATTAAAGCCATGATGGGGGCTGAGTGCATGCCGTCATTCTATCAATATTTGCTATCAGCCATTATTGCTTCAATATTTTATTTTTTTTAGTGCAGCTTATGTCTATTTAAGGTGAAGGTAAGCCTATGAAGTTATGATGAAGCTTAACTAAGGGGCAAAGTTACTTTATAAAAACTGTTACAGGAGATAAGAAAGTCCATTATCCAATAGATTTAGTTTTGTAATCTGTCACTTGATTGAAACCACTATGCATACACCAAATGAGTCATGCTATTTTCCCACTATTCAATATGCATCATTACAATCAATTATTAGTATACCTGTAAGAAAACAGAATCGTTTTTACATCAGTGTTATCAAAGATACATTACTGAGACTAAACAACAAAAAGACTATGCCACAAAATTAGATATAGCACACATTCACATGATTTCTATAAATCTTCCACTTAGTTTTAAATTTTGAAATCTCAAAAAAACCTATTGTGGCAAAATGAACAATGCTCTCTGTTTAGTATTATGCAATTCTCGGATTGATTCAGTGCAAAATGGTTATTAACTGCTGGATACAAATTTTTATGATTGTCTCTAAGGAATACATATATTGAGATAATTTCTCATCCCTTTTCTCCAACCTAGTTTTTGCTGGTCAAACTTTTCTGCTGTCAACAAGCCCCGATAAACCTAAAAAGCACCCACTAAGTGATGTTGTATATATAGGCTATTTTAAGGAATATATAGAAAGTGAAAAAAGTGTATGGGTAGGTAAACTCAGGGTAGCCATGGGGTCAGCAGTTTCCCAGATACTCATTGAAGGTGGAAAACATGATGCACACTTTTATTTTGTCCTTTTTTTACTCTGTACAGGATTATGAAGAGTTAGGCAATACCACTAGTTTAAAAAACTTCTGTATTAGAGACCAGTTCTCACATTGTTACCTCCTTTACTTTCTATTCTTGTTAAACTATTAAACAGCGCAACTTTTTCACATTTCCAGAGTGTTCCACAAGCCATCTGCTCTTTCCTTACCAAAATATGGAAATATAAATACTTTCCGTTTAGCTTTTGCATCTAATTTGCTTCTTTTATTTTAAATCTCCCAGGACCAATATGAATTTCATTTCAGCTGCCAAATGTTCAGAGATCCTCTGAAATTGGGTGACATTTAGCAATAGTAGTTACATTTTTGAAGCCCTGTTCTGCTTCAGTTAGGGGGAAAAAAAAGGAGCCCGGCAAAGCCATCAGATTTTGTCAAATCCCCCTTTAAAGTTTATGTGCAAAGAGGATAATATCTGTAATATTTTTATTTTAGTATATATGATAAAGTAAACTTTATTATAAAAAGTGAACCAAAAAGATGAGAGCTTCAGGGAGTAATATAACAAAATGAAACCTAGCATTTGGGGAGTGTAAACTAATTGGATCCCAATGGCTGTATTAAATAAAGTGATTTTACATATATTGGAATGCTGAAAAACACCTGTAATTTTTGCTTCGTGCATGTGTATTTATGACTATGGAGAAAAAAAAAAAGTTTTCCCATAGACATCAATCACAGAATGACCATCCAAAAATCATTTAATTCATTACAGAAATATGCATTGCTTGGATTCGACACTTGAAGTCCATATACCTATAATTCTCTGTGTGAGTGAGTTGGTTCCAGGCCTATTTAGAAACATTATTACTTTGGCTGCTATATTTGTATGGATTCAAAGATAGAACTCTTGAAGAGTGTTTTACCCAAATATTCAGTGTTAGAAGTTTCAGGCTATTAGGAAACTCTACTAGTCTTGTAATTTCTTTCAACTTTTAAAATGAAAATGTTAAATCTTGTTATATCTCTTTGATCATTGAGTCACCTCCTGCACCAAAACCTGAATTTAATGAAGGATTTTGAGTTCCCCAGAGAGTTTTATCTACTTTCAAGCTATTTTGTGCTCAGAGTGCAATTTGGCAGTTATAAAAGTCCTACTTTTCACCAGCTTGCCCCATCAATGGATAAACTAATTTTCCACTTAATGGAAACATTTGTGATGGCTTAACTGTTTCATGAGGCTAAAAGTTTAGACCAAACTGATTTTAAACCTCATTTTCAGAGAAAAGTGATTATGATCTAAAAATTGGTTTTAAAACTATACTCAATTTTTAAAGGTATGTTTAACAAAGCTGAAAAATAGAGATTTGTTTTGTAGTTGCCCTGTTGGTGATGAGAGGAACAGTCATGCCATCATATGAATTGTCTTCCATGGTTTGTGCACTCAGAATTTGATGCTCAAGTGAAAATTCATCTATCATTGAACTCACATGAAGAATAGGCACTTACATTTTGTTGTGAATTTATCCCAAGGTAACATGCAACTTACTATGTAATTTATAACTAATTCTAGCCTCTATACAGTTATCTTTAGCTCAACTTTATCTAAATCATCAGAGGCACTAGTAAGCACAAGTCTGCTTCTACTTTGTGACATGATATCATTGAGAATAACAAGAAAAATAATTTATTAAGAAAATATCTTAACAGTTACCTATAATTTATTTTGAATTACATTTGTAATTCCTTTAAATAGATACGATAATTGTTTCTTATAGTGATATTTAAAACCAATCTCACTTTAAAATAATTAATTGATTTCCAGTTGGACGTTAAATAACCACAGTGTGTAAGTCTTTTTTAAAAAGATTTTTATAACAGAACAAATTGTAATAGCAGTATGTACATTGACTACTTAAATACTGTCATAATGGACCTATATCAAATGACGTTCATTCCAAGATATTTAGGCAACAAGGTATAGATACATATTTTGGGGACATGTTTTTAACTATCAGAGTTTATTTAAATATATATGTGGGAAGAAAGTGTGTTACTAGAATAAGTCCAACACTTTTTATTGTTTTCCTAAGCAAATCCTTATTTTGAGATAAGGTAAAAACAAACAAACAAAAAACATACAAGCAACCTTCAACTTTAATCCAGAAGAGCATGATACAATGTACACAATAGTCTAGCAATGGCAAAAACTCTATAAGTCCATTGTTACTACATTTCTTTTCTCCAATAGTGATGTAATGAGAGTTACTTGACTCTTGACTTTGCCATTTATCATTTGAGTGACTCTGGTACGATTTTTAACACTATGTACCCATTTATCATCATCAGGAAACTAGACATCACAGTGTTTAATTCATTTATAAGTATTAAAGCAATGTACATGAAAGTAGCTGAAATATGTACTCAATAAAGTATCCAGTTTGGTAGAATCAACATATCTCATGCCATAAATTTTTATTTGACCTTTTGTCTCTCATTAGAACCTAGTTTAGTCTGGATTTATGAAAACAAAGTACAACAAAAAAATAGAGTGCTCATTTGGTGTAAAAATGTAACAAGAAATGGCAAAAGGAGAAAGATAAGCTTTATAACATTTGTGTATTTCATTTACAGGAACTTTTATGTAATTTTACCTCTAAAGCTAACTCGTAACTCATGCTTTGTAGATAACCTCAAGTATAAAGAGAATTATAATAGGTATATAAACAAATCCAATATGACATAAACATATAGTCCAGATCAAGTCCATACTAGCAGATTTTTTTTTTTTGTTTTGAGACAGAGTCTTGCTCTGTTGCCCAGGCTGGAGGGCAGTGTGGCGATCTCATCTCACTGCAAGCTCCACCTCCCAGGTTCACACCATTCTCCTGCCTCAGCCTCCCGAGCAGCTGGGACTACAGGCATCTGCCACCATGCCCGGCTAATTTTTTTGTATTTTTAGTAGAGATGGGGTTTCACCGTGTTAGCCAGGATGGTCTCGATCTCCTGACCTCGTGATCTGCCCGTCTTGGCCTCCCAAAGTGCTGGGATTACAGGTGTGAGTCACCGCGCCCGCCCCATACTAGTAGAATTTTAAAGGCTTCATGTAGGTCGTATTTGTGAGGAGCTTTGAAATATAGACTTTTATTTACTGAAGAAGGCGATTAAAAAATTTCATACCGAGGGAGAAGCATGAGCAAAATTATAGAAACATATGAATAGGCATGCCACATTTAAAAAAGAAGGCATAATAAAGCTTAGGTTTGGTGGTATAGAGTGACAATAAAGAAAAACCATGTAAATAAGATGTTAGCATTTGCATACATTGATATGGTATATATTTACAAAAACATGTAATAGAACATCCAAGAGTTAATTCAAGGAATCACTGTCGTTTTATAACAAATTATAATTCAAAAGCTTAGAGTTTTTACCTTATACTGGTTCATGTAATACAATAAAGGGATTAATATCCACCAATATCAATCCAAGGGTGGATATAAACACACATTGGCATTTGAGAAACCATAGTCACTATTTTTAATAATGGAATTTTAGGACATCTGGTAGGATTTCAGTTTGATTCATCATTTACTGTATTTGAATAAATGATCTGCAACCTTAATAAGCTTATGCCAGTGCAGAAATGGAATGGCATCCCATTCTTTACAGTGAAATAGCAATTAGTAAGAACTTAAAAACTATTAGATAACTAGATTTTGTAATTAGAATTTAATAACAGCACTGACTCAAATAGCAGATAAAAATAAAAACCTTCTGCTGGAGATTTTTCACTTGGGATTCACCTCAGCCCAGGCAAATTCAAAATATCTTTATGTTGGTCTTCCTCAATGGAAATTATATTTCTAGAAATTCTTGAAGGAGGAAATGTGAAATTAAAAGAAAGCAACCTAGTTCCAGGGAGAGTCCATAGAATTGTCTTTTTTGTGGCATGCACTATAAGCAAAATTTATGTTCATTTAAATGGAACCGTTTACATGAAGCTTTGCTTACAAGCAAACGGGAAGTATCTTATATGTATGTGATTCTGCAAAATTGAGCTGGTCAAAGTTTCCTATTAAACTCATTATTAGCTTAAAGTGTCACCTCTACTCCTTTTCCTAGTCTGACAGATCAAATTCACCTTGAACTTCTTGTCTTTGTAGAAATAGTAGCTCTAGATAATTTTTTTTCTACTGTCAAGAAAAACCGGCCTGCCAAGACCAAATAGGATGGTGAGTAGAAGATTGAACTGTTCTTAATTAATTTTGTTTGTTTTACATTTTTTGGCTTTCCTTAGAATTCACTGTTATACGAATATTTTTCTTTGTGACTCTGAAGATTATAAACAATATAATATCTTAAATAAAAGCAAATGAAATTTTGAAACAGATAATAAAAAATCACTTTTCAATGAGTAGAATTATCTGTTAATGATCTCCAGTATTGTCCTTAGATATAATGATAATGATTATAATGTGCTTATTCTATTGATATAATTATCTGTTTAAAATTTCATGGATCTCTTAAGTTTTATTCTTCTTGTGTCTAAATGAATATTCACATTAAGTTGTACCTGTGTGCACACATATATCTGAGCTCATATATTAAAGGATATTTTACATAGGCACATGCAAATATATAAGAATACACATGCATGTATTGAAATGGATATAGCATTTGTGATGTATTTATATTTTTCTGTATCATATACATGCTCATACAAAATGTTAATATCCAACTAATTTCATCCAGTATTCATAATAATAGAAACAAATATTTTTATTCCAATATTCATGAAAATACTGGAGAAGGAATCTTAACACAAAGATGTAAGAATTGGCAGCAATGAGCATTTAGATATGGCTCAAGGTTCCAAGGTTAATATGTGACTCAAAATTTTTGTAAGGTCAAAATCTGTCTATAGGTGTATTTCCATAGCTAGAGGCAGGTATATCTTGGCAATAACAACAAAGACCTTAGTATTGGCCATCATTTGCAATTACTCTGGGAGTCACAGATGATACATCTTTATATTTTAATCATTCATCAACAATAAAGTTGTGTCCTTCGACTATTTTTAATTTTTTATTTCTTTTCTTTTTAAAATTTTATTTTAGGTTTGTGGGTACATGGGCAGGTTTGTTACATGGGTAAATTGCATGTCGCTAAGGTTTGGGCTATGAATGATCCTGTTATCCAGGTAGTGAACATAGTACCTGATAAGTAGTTTTCCAGCCCTCACATCCCCCACCCCAGTAGTTCTTACTGGATATTGTTTTGTTCTTAATGTCCATGTGTACTCAATGTTTAGCTCCCACTTATAAGTGAGAACATACAGTATTTGGTTTTTCTGTTTTATTTGCTTCCTGCATTTATTTGTTTAGGATAATGTCTTCCAGCCGCATCCATGTTGCTGCAAAGGACATGGATTTTTCTTTTTTATGTCTGCATAGTTTTCCATGGTGTATATATGTACAACATTTTCTTTATCTAATCCACCCTTTATGGGCATCTAGTTTGATTCCATGTTTTTGCTGTTGTGAACAGTGCTGTGATAAACATACAAATGCATGTGCCTTTTTAGTAAAACAATTTATTTTCCTTTGGTTATATACCCAGTAATGGTATTGCTAGGGTAAATGACAGTTCTATTTTAAGTTCTTTGAGACATGTCTATTTCCAAATTGCCCTCCACAGGGGCTGAAGTAATATACATTCCCACCAACAGAGTATAAGCATTCCCTTTTCTCCACAACCTTGCCAATATCTGTTTGTTGACTTTTCAGTAATACCCATTCTGACTGGGTTGACATGGTATATCGTTGTGGTTTTGATTTGTATTTCTCGAATGATTGGTGATTTGAGTATTTTTGAATATATTTGTTGGCTGTATGTGTTTCTTCTTTTCAGAAGTGTCTGTTCATGTCCTTTGCGCACTTTTTAATGGAGTTACTTGTTTTTTGCTTGTTCAGTTGTTTATGTTCCTTATAGATTCTGGATATTTAGCCTTTGTTGGATGCTTAGCTTGTGAGTATTTTCTCCCATTTTGTAGGTTGTCTATTTACTCTGTTGATAGTTTATTTTGCAGTGAAGAATCTTTAATGAGGTCCCATGCTTCAATTTTTGTTTTGTTGCAATTGCTTTTGGAGACTTTGTCATAAATTCTTTGTGAAGGCTGGTGTCCAGAGTATATTTTCCAAATTGTTTTTTTTTCCTAGGGTTTTTCTAGTTTTGGGTCTTAAATTTAAGTCTTTAATTCATCTTGCATTAATTGTTGTATATGATGAAAGGTAGGAGTCTAGTGTCATTTTTCTGCATATGGCTAACAAGTTATCCCAGGACTGTTTATTGAATAGGGAGTCCTTTCCTCATGCTTGTTACTCAAGAGTCTGTAGTTGTGCAGCTTTATTTCTGGGTTCTCTATCCAATTCCATTGGTCTATGCATTTGTTGTTTGTTTGTTTCTACCAGTACCATGCTGTTTTGATCATCTCAATAGATGCAGAAAAAGCTTTTGATAGAATTCAGCATGCACGATAAAACCCTCAACAAACTAGGCATCAAAAGAACGTACTTCAAAATAATAGGAACCATTTAGGACAGATCCACAGCCAATATCATACTGAATGAGCAAAAGCTCAAAGCATTTCATTTAAGAATTGGAACAAGATAAGGATTCCCACTCTCACCACTCCTATTCAACGTAGTACTGGAAGTGCTAGCCAGAGCAATCAGGCAAGAGAAAGAAATAAAAGGCATCTAAATTGGAAAAAGAGAAAAATTATCTCCCTTTACTGATGATATGATTCTATACTTAGAAAACCCCAAAGACTCTGCAAGAAACTTATAGCATTGATAAACAACTTCAGTAGTTTCAGGATACAAAATCAATGTACAAAAATTAGTAGCATTTCTATACACCAATAACATTCAAATTGAAAACCAAATCAAGAATGTAGTTTTGTTTACAAGAGCCACACACATAAAAAAATACCCAGGAATATATCTAACCAAGGATGTGAAAGTTCTGTGCCAGAAGAACTACAAAATACTGCTTAAAGGAATCATAGCAATATAAACAAGTGGAAAAACATCCCATGCTCATGGATTGAGGAAGCAATATTGTTAAAATGTCCCTACTGGCCAAAACAATATAAAGATTCAGTGCTATTTTGATCAAACAATGAATTTTATTTTTCAGAGAATTAGCAAAAAAAAAAATTCTCAAGTTCATATGGAACCAAAACAGAGCCTGAATATCCAAAGCAATCCTAAGCAAAAAGAATAAAGCTCAGAGGCATCATATTACATGACTTCAAAATATACTACAAGTCTACAGTGATCATTTTTAAGTATTCCAGCTGGGTCTGATGATGCCTGCCTGTAGTCCTAGCTAATCAGGAGGCTAAGACTGGAGGAACTCTAGTGTACAATGATCATGCCTGTGAATAGTGCCTGCACTGCAAAACTCCATCTTGGACAACACAGTGAGAGCCCTTCTTCAGAAAAAAATTAAAGAAAAAACAACTGTTCATAGACATAAAGTACAGGGAAAATAGTTTTTAAAATGTTATTTCTGTTTCTGTATATGTGGTTTTTTTTAAAACTTTTCCCTAACTTGATGCTCATTGTGTGATTTTTACCTGGAAATTTTTCTCAATCTACCTCTACCAATTGGCTGCTATTTTGATTGCTTTCATGCTATGCAGTGTGACTACTCCCTTACCTATAGCTTTTAAAAAGCATTTTAAATATTTTTCTTGTCTATCTATAATGTTTGAACATTTATGAAGTAACCATGACATTTCTCACTTTTCACAGGCTACAAATAGAATATCCTTTCTATACCATACATGTTGCTTAGTCCTTCAAAAATCAATGTATACATGATTTTTTCATGTAATATTTCTCTGTGAGATCCATAGAGTTAAGTATGGCTGCTTTTGTGTGTTAACTATAAACTGCATATGCTTCTAATGTATAAGATAAAGCAAAATCTAAAACTTACATTTATTTTCTTTTTTTAAGACAGTTTCATTGAGTTTTAAGTGAAAAACTAAGCTATGTATTTTATATGTATTGTTTTATGCACACACACACACACACACACACACACATAAATCCATCTCCTCAGTCAAGATGGTGAACATAGACACTATCTTCAGGTGTTTCCCTGTGATCTTTAGTAACCATTTCCTGCCCCTACACTGCCCACTCTCTACTATTCCAAGGCAAAACTTGATTACTACACGTTACCTTATAATTTCTATAATTGTATATAAATAGCATCATAGAGTATGTCCTCTTTTTTTTTTTTTTGCTTTGTTTTATTTCTATCACTGAGGACAATGATTTTGAGATCCACCATGGTGTTTTCTGTACCAATAAATAGCTCATTTCTTTGCATTGCTGAGCAGTATTCCATTAGATGAATGGCCACAATCTGTTAATTTGTTCACTTGCGATGGTCATTTGGATTGTTTACAATTTGGGGCCACTACAAATAAAGCTGTTATAAATATTCATGTGCAAGTCTTCCAAGTCTTTGCAAGGGCATGTGCTTTTTTTTTTTTTTTAAATCTTGAGAACTATTTAAGGGTAAAAATCCCGGGATCTTAGGGTAGACATATTTGTAACTTTTAAAGACAGTAACAAACTATTTTCCAAAGTAGTTTTTTTCTGGCTGGGTGTGGTGGCTTATGCCTGTAATCCCAGCACTTTGGGAGACTGAGGCAGATGAATCACAAGGTCAGGAGTTTGAGACCAGCCTGGTCAACATGGTGAAACCCCATCTTTACCAAAAATACAAAAAAAAAAAAAAAAAAAAAAACGCCGGGTGTGGTGGCATGTGCCTGTAATTCCAGCTACGCTGGAGGCTGAGGCAGGAGAATTGTTAAATCCGGGAGGCAGAGGTTGCAGTGAGCCAAGATCGCACCACTGCATGCCAGCCTGAGTGACAGAGCAAGACTCCATCTGGAAAAACACAAATGAAAAAGAAACAGTTTCTATTTTCCAGTTTCTATTCCCACCAGAAATCTATGAGTATGTTTGTCCCTTCACATCCTCAAAATACTGATAGCTTTTTCTTTAGTTGCTTTTTCAGCACATAGGCTAAAAGCATTTAGTTTGCTAATATTAAAATTTTGTAAAGATATTTCTGTTGTGAACTTGTAAGTTAATACCATTGTGGTCAAATAACACACTTCATATGATTTGAATCTTTTTTAACTATATCAATAATTGTTTTATGTCCCTGAATATAGTCTATATTGATAAACGTTTTGCATGCACTTGAAATTAATGTGTATTCTGCTGTCTGGTGGGGAGATATGCATTAATCTATAAATGTTAATTAATTAAAATTAGTTGATTATGCAGTTCAACTTTTCTATATACAGACAGTCCTTACATTGCAAAGTAGTCTGGGACCATTAAAAGCACGATGCAAGCTGAAATTTCTGATATGATGAAGCCAGCCTTTATTGGCAGTGAAATGTTCTTCTTCAGTCTTCTTGTAGCTGCCATTTTCTTCAATATGGCAACTAGAACCTTTCTACCTGAATGCTAGCCAAACTGAGTAGAAGACATTTGAAGCTGCACTGAAACCAAAAATTTAGCGCAGACTACTCATGTAATGAAGATAGTACTAGCTACATTAGATTTTCTTGTCATTTGAGTGTACCTAGAATTTTATTTTTCCTACGAAATGAATCTTGGGTCCTCTCTCTAAACTAGCTTCATATCCCATGGTGAGGTAATCTGTTGTGATTTATATATTTATATATAGATTTATTATATAATAGATCTATTATATTTATATATAGATTAATATTTAACTTTTCCCTAGCTTATAACATTAAAATTTACTGTAATCTTTAAATGTTTCTACTAATTTCTCATATCAATGCGATGTATATCCTGACATCTATGTCACTGAATCTGAATTTTACTAACTCCCAAAAATTATTGCCATCTATTTTTGTATTTAAGACCTCTAAATGTAATTTTTTTGCATTAAAGATATTGTATATACTATTCATACTATAATAAGGTATAGAACAAAACATTAGCTAGACAGACTTCGGGTATACATACAATACTCACGTATTTTAGAACGTTTCAGTGGCCTCCTGGGTGTAGAGAAAGGGTTGGTTGTGGCAACAGTGTAGTGCTATTTGTTTTAGTTTTATGTAGATTTATTGAGGATTCATAAAATGCAATATACTTAGAGTCAGTATAATTACTAAAAATTGATGTTAGAAATAATCTGAAGTTTAATAATCTTATTTAAGATTTAACCTTTCTCTCCATAATTCTGTTTATTTATTTTCTTATCAAAAGTTGCAGATACAAGAAGAAAAACTGGTTTATTTCCCAGTATTTCTCTGCACAGTCTTCAAAGAAACATGGAAAAAGTGAAAATTTAAAAAAACGAAGAAATGCAAAAGTATTTCAAATGAGATATTTTTCAAACTAAATCTATGCTAAAGAGATCTTAAATACCTGTGAAAAAAGGCAAAAGTAGTACTATAAGTCCTAAAAACACTTACTATTTTAATCATTAAGCCTTGCTATTGCATTATTGCTTAATGCATGGTAAAATTAAATTAGTTAGGGTAATATGCTGCCAAAGGAAGAAAAGAAACAGTATTACCCTTTAATCAATATCATTATTTATACTTTTGTAGTTATAAACTCTTAATACCCATGTCATTGTATGACCATTAAAAACTCAAAAAATGGACCTTGGAGCCACGAGAGATTTCCTTTGGTGGAGAAAAGGTAAGCAGAAGATCCCCAGTAGACTACCTTTCTTCCATAGGTGCCTATAATTCTAGCTACAGGGTAGCCCCACAGCTCTCACAGGCCCTAAGCTTACTATGGGGAGTTGTCTGGAGTCCATGGGAGTACATTATTCTAGAGAGAGAATTCATGCTGAGTGCCTCCCATCCCCCCAGGACCCAAGTTGCTGTAGCAAAGTGCCACCTTGAGAGCAAAGCCAACACTAGACTACATCTTTCCTTGGACCTCAATATCCCTTGCAACTTCACCTTTTGAGGCAATGCTGACGTGACCTCACATCAACCCAGAGGGCTGGAGTATCTTACAGCAGTTAGACCCAGCAGTGCAGCCATATTCCTAGTACCCTAACCCTTGTGGCATCCCACATTCCTAGGAACAGGCAGTTTAGCAAATCAGGAAAGTTGGCCCTGGGACAAAAGGAGTTGAAGCATCTGCTCACCAAAGCATGAGTGCCTCGTGCGTGGGCACATCACTGCCAGTGATTACTTTGTCTCCTCCAGCAGTGGGCCACTGAGGGCCCACACACCATACAGAAACTCAGGTACCAACCTGTGCAAGGTTCACTGCCACAAGGAATAGGATGGGTATATTCAATATTGAAAGAAAAAAAATGTCAGCCAAGAATATTATACCTAGAAAAGCTATCTTTCATAAATGAAGGAGAAATACAGTCTTTCCCAGACCTCAGCAAAAACTTGAGGAAGTTAATTACTGCTAGACTGGTCCTATAAGAAATGCTTAAGGGATCCTATATCTGAAAGAGGACAATATCTACAATTGTGAAAACACATGAAGGTAAAAAACTTAAAGGTAGAGCAGATATGTAAAAGATAAAGAAAAGAAAACAAATGTTATCATTATATAAAACCGCCAAACCACAAAAAGAATAAGAGAGGAAAAAAGGAACAAAGGATATGAAAACAATGAGAAAATAACAAAATGACAGGAGTAAGTTCGCACCTATGAATGGCAATTTTGAATCAAAATGGTTCAAATTCCCAATTAAAAGATAAAGACCGACTTAACGGATTAAAAAAAAAAGACTTAAGTCTATGCTCACTATAAGAAACTCATTTTCACAGTAAAAACACAAAGTTAAATTATGTAAAAAAAAAAAATACTCCTTCCAAATGGAAACTAAAAGAGAACAAGAGAGGATATACTTACATCAGATAAAATACAGACTTCAAATCAAAAGCCGTACAAAGAGTCAAAGAAGATCATTACCTAATGATAAAGGGAATAATTCAGTAAGATAATATAATGATCATAAATACATACACACCCAACACCAGAGCACCCAGATATATAAAGCAAATATTGGGGAATCTTGCTCTAGGGAAAGCAATGGATTCAAAAGAAAGAAAGCAGTATGTTGAAGAGATACCTGAACCCTCAGGTCTATTGCAGCTCTATGCACAATAGCAATGATACGAAATCAACCTGTTTATTAGCATGTGAATGCTTAAGGAAAATATGGCATAAATACACAGTAGAATGCTATTCAGCTTTGAAAAGAATGAAATCCTATAATTCATAGCAACTTGGATGAACCTGTAGGATATCATGTTAAGTGAAAAAAGTCAGGCACTGAAAAATAAATAATGCATATTCTGACTCACATGTGGGAGCTAAAAATAAGCTCAAAGAAGTAGTGAGTAGAATTAAGGTTATTAGGTGCTGAGAAGGGCAAAAAGAAGGGGAGAATAAGGAGAGGTTGGTTAATAGAAAAATACAGCTACGTAAGAGGGTAAGTTCTAGTGTTTTGTAGCCCTGCAGGATAAATATAGTTACTAGTAATTACTGTATATGTTCATAATGCTAGAAGGGAGGATTTTGCATGTTCTGAAGACAAATAAATGACAAATGTTTGAAATGATGGATATCTCAATTACCCTGATTTGATCATTACACATTGTATACATGTATTAAAATATCACTGTAGCCCATAAATCGATGCAATTATTATGTGCTAACTAAAAATAAAAGGAGAAAAACCCTTAGAAAATGAAAATATTGATAATGATGTAATAAGTAGAAAAACAATAAAATTGATATAAACTTTATAAAACTATTTACAAACATTTTAAAATCTGTTCTCATTTTACAAGCCCAAACTCATACAGCTAGTATTGATTGGCCACTACTTGTACTGTTATTTAATTTTGCAAAATAAAACAGTCCTCAAGGATTCAAAATGGCAAGAGTCAAAAGGTTTTTTGAAAATGTAAGTTTGTATTCTCAATGGGACAATGTTCTCTGTAAAATACAAGGGTGATTGTAGGAAGAGTTATGGTGCTCATCATTCTCCACTATTTACCCATGGAGAATGCTGAAGTTATAATAAGTAGCCTCGTCAAATCCTCCCATTCAAGTCATGCCAGAGTTCAGTTCCAAAACTGCTTTTTATGTATCAACTATATCAAGTAAAGTCTGGCTTCTCAATAATTACATCACATCTGACTAAATAATACTGTTGTTATTATTCTTATCAAATTAAGCTTCTGCTTTCTCGAAAGTCTAGGTTGTAATGGTGTACTTGCCTGAGAACACAAGCAAAGGAAATCTAAAGCCTGTGTGAAAATTATTTCACTAATTCAGACAAAGTGTTTTTCTGGATACTTACTAGATTTTTAAAATTATTTCAAAAATTTTTTATTTTTCTTCATTTATTCTTTTAATTTCTCTTTACAATCATTAACTTCTTGAAATTTTCTTTCTCTTCTTTCTTTTTTTCTCCTTGCAGACTTTCTCCTTTGATCAAAATATGAAGAAATTAGAAATAGCAACTCTTTCGGTACAATGCTAGTTTTTCTGACATGTACAGTCTGAGTTAACAAAATATAAAGCTGTCAAATTTTATTCTGACTAATGTATTCTTAGGTCAAGTGCTGAGATATATAGCGGCATTCTCACAGGCTATTTTAGAAAGTAAAGGCCTCTGGATTTTATGTCCAGTGAGATTTAGTGTACATTAAATTTTGATAACTGCCCTCTCAATTATAGGATATGCTTAGAAATGTTAAGTTTCAAGGACACATGGTGTTTAAGAATTGCAGACCCCAAAGAAAATTTTCCAGAGGTCAGCACTATCCAACAGAAGTATAATGTATACCACATGCATAATTGAAAATTTTCTAAGAATCACATATAAAAAGTAAAATTCAAGAGGCAAAATTAACTTTAAACATGTTTTACTTCATGTAATATATACAAAATATTGTCATTCCATGCGATTAATATAAAACATGTATTGAAGTATTTCCTTCTTTTTTTGTACTATATTTTTCATTAGTCTTTGAAACCAGTATAGTCTTACACTTATATCACATATCAATTGATACACAGAATTTTCACTGACTAAAATAAGATATAATCTTTCCAAAACGTTACAGTTTCATTTATAAGAAAAATATTTTATTCTGCTGTACTTTATACATTTAAATTTTAAATTGATGTGTTCAAATTGTTAGTTGCACTAAGAATTTCAGGTGCTTGGTTGTTTAGGGAACACATGGCTAGTGACACAGATATAGACGCTTTCAGAGCCTGTTTCATGAATGTGCAGTCCCACAAGGCTCTCCCTTTAGAAAGGTGCTCCAGCTCAGTTTAATGCTCTGCTGTATCTGTTCTGAAATTCATAATCATTTTAAATCAGATGTCTTAAATTTTTATTATACACTGGGTTCCACAAATTATATATCCAGTCCTGTCCCCAGTAAGTATCTGATGACCCTGTACTTCAACCAGCAACTAAATCAAACAGTGTACTTTATAAAAAGAACATGTAATTTTTATGTGAAAACTGCTTCAAGAGGACACAGTTCAGGTTTCTGACAAACGGATCTGAGAAGCATAAATTCCAAAGAGGATACCCTATAAAGGTAGTACATAGTAGTTTTAAGGGCTTAGCATGCAAAGAAAGAATAATTATTGGAGAAGGAATTCTGCATTTAGGAAAAGAAAATGCTCAATTTTAGTTCAGTGAGAATACCATTCTCTTTCTCGCCTCTCATCTTCTATTCTTTAAGTAACTTCTTTTAAATCAGTAATGAGCAGAGTTAGAAATATTCTATTTTTTTGTCTTCCTGAATTGCCTTTCTCTTTCTTCCTGTGGCTATTTACTTCAGTTACATTCTAAATCTTTATCTGAAATAGTTAATCTCTTCCAAAGGCATGATGCTATCTGATAAATTTATCCTCTTAATCCTTAGGATTATTGAGAGCATTACCAAATTTTTCAACTTTTGTTATGATTTGGCTTTTGTAACAGTCTATCAGTAGTGGGTAAATGCTCCCTGGGGCAATGGAAAATAATTTTTACTTTCACATTTTGACATCTCTATCAAGGTTATTGATTCATGAGTTAATATAAATTTTTTACCTTGTGGGCTTTTACCTTATGACATCTCCAGTAATCAAAATTTCCAATGTGTAAAGCTACCACAGGAAATCTCTAATGAAAAAATAATTCAAATATATATATACACACATACTTCATTGTCTTATATAAAATAAAAATAAAAATACATAAAAATATATAATATATATTTTTCTTTTAAAGCTTTCTTTTCCACAAAATTAGTGGAAGAAGTTAAATTATTTCTTAACTGTCATCATCACTCCTTTGTTTATAAAATAACAAATTAAGTGAGACTCAATGAACATAACAAAATATTGACTGTTCTAAAACTCAATAAATCTATTAAAATCTACGTTTGATATAAATGCATTAAACTACCTAATCATCATATATAATTGTTCCCATCTCCACATTATATTAATTTCCTGACCGATTAAGAACTCAATTAGAAATTGTAGAATATGTTAATGGAAAGAAGTTTATATTGACATTCATTGAGCACAAACGTATATTGAGACATGAGATAGTAATGATATAGTTTAGAATTAGTGAGTAGAGAAAAATGATAAATCCTTGATGGAACAGATTTTCTTTACAAGTTGTGACATAGAATAATAAAAAAGAAGATGAAAAGAAAAGTGAGAAAAAAACAATTTTAATAATAATGTGATTTAAACATTTTTATCTGCCATAAGTTGTTCTACATTTCTGTGTACATTGATCTTTCTCACAACAACCTTGTGATGAACCATTGTTATTCTAATTTTATTTGGATGGCCTGCTTTAACAGTAAAAATTAAGTAACTTACTCAAATTTGCATAGATTAGAAAATGGTAGAATTGGCACTTAAAGGAAGAAAAATTAATATAGATTACCATTACTGTTTTAGAAATCCTTGTGGCCAAATTTGTTTCAGAATTTTGAATTTTTTAGTCTTTCCTAAGGATAGTACTGTGCATATATTATATATTTGTATATGTAAAATTTATTTTTGTATCATATTTTATTATATATTTATCATATAAATATGTAATATTAGATGTTTGTATACAGTGGAATATGGTACTTTATAATTAAACACATTATTTCTGTAGCAAAATATAAATATTCTTTCTCAGTGAGAAAAATGAATAAATTTATATTCTTTCATAATATGCTTTGTCATCAAATTAGTTTTGGAGACAAGCATAAAAGAAGTGGCTTTTTGTCTGTTTTCAGGTGCTTCTCTTATATTTTTAAAATGCAAATAGATGATTGTGGACCCATACAAACTGTACTATAAGGAGATAAAATTTTAGTGATGTAGCAGGTTAAATTTTAAAAATGGGTTAGGGCAGATGCCACATACATAATGCCAAAAATATACACTCTTTACTCAGTGGCATGTTTTATAATTATAAAGAAATTGTGTGTCAATGCTTCTGTCTAATCAGTAGACAAGAGATGGTACAGAATGATTATGTTAAATTTGAGGTTTGGCGTTTAAAGAAAGATGGAGCACACTGATTAAGATTTCATGCACAAAACACAGCAGGAGCTGATGAGGAAATCACTGGAGTCAGAGTGGTTCTGTGGATACTGACGGCCTGAATCCAAAGATGACAGAAATTGAGGAATGAAAATTGGCAGCAGAAACTGCCCTGAGAGTAAGAGAGTCCGATATACTGTGTAGACCTATAATGTAAATGAAGTGCTTTCAACTATGATATGTCTCTGAAAATAGACTGAGTCAAGTATACAGAGATGGTGTATTTATATGTATTTATTTCTCTCTTATTTGACAATAATTACCTGTACAATCAATAATTATATAGGAAAAAAATAAAAAGAATGATACCTCTAAACATTCGAAAATCCATTTTACTACACAGATAGTTATAATGTAAATCAAAGCTATATTTTTTTGTTGCTAATCATATTGGTGAAAAGTCAACAAAGATAATACTCAGAAAATAGGCAATTTTTGAACACTGCTAGTTGAATTTTTTTTTGGGGGGGGCATTTTAACATTACAAATAGGAATGGCAAAAATATTATGATAGTATAATAGCTTTTAATTTCCTCAAAGAAAATATATATGTGAAAGTCATACTCACCTGACACTTTTATTATGAGTGGAAAAAAATGTATACAGGATATAGATAAGTATATAATGCAAGCATGCTGTTGAATATTACAATGTCATCAATAGTATGAAAAACTATAGATCGCATGGGTAATTGCTATATTGAAATGAAGAAGAGAATGGAATGTACACACATATATGGGTATATATTGAGTTAATCAAATGACGTATTTTATAAATAGAAACACATATACATATACATACATAAAATACTTCAGAGCTTTTAATTCTGAATATGGTAGATAAATGTATGTAAATTAATAAATACCCATGTAACCACCCTCTAGCTTACTAACTAAAACATACATGAAATAATTCAATTTAAATTTGTGAATTTTTCTTGAAGAATTGCTAGGTAAGAAAACATATCCTAACAATATATTTAACCTTATAAATAAATATTTTTAAATTAAGATAGCTAAAACAAAGATGTAAGGAAGTCCTGATTCAAGCTCAAATATGCATATTAGAAAAATTGATATATGGCAAAAGTGGCATTACAACTTAGTTGGGAATTTGTGGATAAATTATATGAGAAATAGTGCTGATGGAATTAATTATCAAAATGAGGAAAGAGGATTTTGAATCCTTTACATCTAGCCATTCACAGAAATCAATGTCAGTCATATGGAATGTTTAAATTGAAAGAAAATAGATTAAAATCTTTAAAAAATATTTTTGGCCCCAGGAAAAATGAAGAAGCTTATATTAGGCTGACATAACCACAGAAGAATGTTAGTAATTGGTCAAAATACATATAATAAAAATGTATAAAACAATTAGGACATTGGAGAAAAAGGGAGGCATGCAGGATTGAAGGCTATGATGAATGAAAAAAGGACAACGGCCAAGTACGGTGGCTCACGCCTGTAATCCCAGAACTTTGGGAGGCCAAAGTGGGCAGATCACCTGAGGTCAGGAGTTCAAGGCCAGCCTGGCCAACATGGTGAAACCCTGTCTCTACTAAAAGTACAAAAATTATCCTGGTGTGGTGGCATGCAGCTGTAATCCCAGCTACTCAGGAGGCTGGGACAGGAGAATCACTTGGACCCGGGAGGCAGAGGTTGCAGTGAGCCAAGATGGCACCACTGCACTCCAGCCTGGGAAACAGAGTGAGACTCCTCAAAAAAACAAACAAACAAACAAAAAAAAACAACATCTGAAATGAGCTCCTGGTTCACATCTACTTTTTTAAACTTAATGTCATATTTTCTAAATCTCAGCATAAAATGAAAGGTAATCCATTTAGAAAGTAGCAGTTTTACTGGACTGAACAGAGTTTGGAAATTGTAAAGTGGCTGGAATTAAAGGGCAAAACCCTAGAGAAGACAGAAATGCAGAAAAGTTCCATGAATGCTGCTTACAGACCACCTGCGCCACACAGCTGTAAGCTCAGCCATGTACAAAGCAAGTATTCATAAAGCATAGCAAAAAAATCCAGCTGGGAAGCTGAAGAGTAAAGACATTTCAGCACGTCCTGGGGGAGAAAAAGTATTGAAAACCTGACAAAGTGGCACGGACTTATTAAGAGCAGTTAGCTTTCATTTGAGTCTCCAGAAGGATGAACCCCTAGATGAAATGGCCGGGCCCTATACATAAGGACAACATCACAGAGCTAGGAGTAAAACAGAGCCTAAGTCCAAAATTTAAGCCTCCTTAGAGAGGAGAATAATTCATCTAACCTCTTTCTCATTCACTCTCTCTTCCCTGACCCCACCACCCCACCTACAAGAGTCAAGATCTATTAAAAATTATGGGAATATTTTTGACTTTAAAAATTTTGTTATATTTTTGTTCAGATTGTGCACATGAAATACATATTACTTATACAGTCTCAAAAACAGTCATAGGAATCAATAATACGTACTTCCTACAGTAATTTTACATTTCCAACGTTCTCATCTTGTTCTTTTTAATAAATCTTTTGTGTTGTGAACCCTCCCTCCACTGTAATTACATTGACACCTTGCTGTGGATGGCACATTTTACAAGCTGAAAATAGATATAAGGCCGGACGTGGTGGCACAGGCCTGTAATCCCAGCACTTTGGGAGGCCAAGGCGGGCAGATCACCTGAGGTCAAGAGTTTGAGACCAGCCTGGCCAACATAGTGAAACCCAGTCTCTACTAAAAATATAAAAATAGCCGGGCATGGTGGCGCCTCAAAAACAGTCACAGGAATCAATAATACGTACTTCCTACAGTAATCTTACATTTCCAACATTCTCATCTTCTTTATAATAAATCTTTTGTGTTGTGAACCCTCCCTCCACTGTAATTACATTGACACCTTGCTGTGGATGGCACATTTTACAAATTGAAAATAGATATAAGGCCGGACGTGGTGGCTCAGGCCTGTAATCCCAGCACTTTGGGAGGCCAAGGCGGGCAGATCACCTGAGGTCAAGAGTTTGAGACCAGCCTGGCCAACATAGTAAAACCCAGTCTCTACTAAAAATATAAAAGTAGCCAGATGTGGTGGCACATGCCTATCATCCCAGCTACTTGGGAGGCTGAGGCAGGAGAATCACTTGAACCCAGGAGGCAAAGGTTGCAGTGAGCCAAGATGGCACCATTGCACTCCAGCCTGGGTGACAGGAGCAAAACTCTGTCTTAAAAAAGAAAAAAAAAAGTAGAATACATTACATTTCCTCTTTTCACTTCTAATCCTTCTAGTGTTTCTGGTCATGTGGTGAAATATATTTTCTAGGAAAAATTTGCCTATGATATCTCTGTTAGGAGGACTGTATGGAAGTGAGAGAGGACCATTTGGAAAAAAAAAGAATATGCTAATATTTTTCTTTATCCTTGGAAATAACTTGGAAAGCATTTCAATGTTAATAAAAATCATCAATGATATAACAGATACTTTGTTTCGGATGACAGAATATTTTCATATGGAAATCAGTCATTATTTGGTGAGGTGTGGAGTCCATGGCCCATGCCTTCTACTCCTCTGGACTAGATTACTTTATTCTTAGATTCATAGTTTGAAAATATATTCTCCCATTCTGTAAGTTGTCTGTTTACTCTGTTGATAGTTTATTTCACTTTGCAGATGCTCTTTAATCAGAAGTCCCATTTGTCCATTTTGTATTTTGTTGCATTTGCTTTTGAGGTCTTCATCATAAATTATCTGCCTAGGCCAATGTCTAGAAGAGTATTTCCTAGGTTTTCTACTAGGATTTTTACAGTTTTTGGTCTTAAAGTTAAGGTTTTAATCCATCTTAATTTTTGTGTATGGTGAGAATTAGGTGTCCAGTTTCTTTCTACTGCATATTGCTAACCAGTTTCCGCAGAATGATTTATTGAATAGGGTGTCCTTTCCCCGTTGTTTATTTTTGTCTGCTTTGTTGAAGATCAGTTAGTTTTAAGTGTGTGGCTTTTATTTCAGGAGTCTCTCCTGTTTATTGGTGTTCGTGTCAATTTTTATACCAGTGCCATGCTGTTTTGGTTACTATAGCCTTGTACTATAGTTTGAAGCCAGGAAATGTGATGCCTCTGGCTTTATTCTGTTGCTTTAAATTGCTTTGGCTATTCAGGCTCTTTTTTGGTTACATATAAATTGATTTTTTTTCTAGTTCATTGAAACATAATATTGTTAAACTCATAGAGATAGTGTTGAATCTGTAGATTGCTTTGGGCATTAAGGGCATTTCCCAATATCAATTCTTCCAACACATGAGCATGAAATTATTTTTCATTCATGTGTATTGTCTGTAGTTTCTTTCAGCAGTGTTTAGTAATTCACCTCATACATATCTTTCACCTTCTTGATTAAATATATTCCTAGGTTTTTTTTGTGTGTGTGGCTATTGTAAATGGGATTATCTTGTTGATTTGCTTCTCCACTTGAACATTATTGGTGTATAGAATTGCTGCTGAAGAGTCTTAATTACTCAGACTTTATTACTGAGATATACTGAGACTTTGCTGAAGTCATTTATCAGGTCAAGGAGTCTTTTGGGAAAATCATCTGGGTTTCCTATAAAATCATATCAGCAAAGTGAGAAAACTTTGCTTCCTCTTTTGCTATTTAGATGCCTTTTATTTCCTTCTCTTGCCTGATTGCTCTGGCTAGCACTTCCAGTACTATGTTGAATATGAGTGGTGAGAGTGGACATCTTTGCCTTGTTGCAGTTCTTAGGAAGAATGCTTCCAACATTTGCCCATTCAGTACAATATTGGCTGTGAGTTTGTCAAAGATGACTCATTATTATGAGGTATGCTTCTTTGATGCTAGTTTCTTGGGTTTTTTTAATTGTAAAAGGATGTTGGATTTTATTGAATGATTTCTCTGCATCTATAGAGATGATCATATGGTTTTTGTTTTTAAGTCTATATAAATTTTATTTCTTAACATAAACTCTATCAAGGACAAGGCACTTTTGTAAGAGATACCAGCTATTTAGTTCATTCTAAAGAGATGAAGAATTTAATCATGTGAATGCAGTCTTCTTTACATTATTAACTGAAAAACAATGGGTGTCCTTCCCAACTGTTTTAATATTAGAAATCAAAAATAAATCAGAAGGAACCTAATCATAACAGTAAGGTGGATGGCTACAGTTTTATGATAGAAATTTTCACAAATCTGTTCTTGCTTGATGCAAGTAATGAATAGGAGCATTGTTGTGGTACAGAAGGACTCTCCGGTGAAGTTTAGCTGGGCATTTTTCTGCTAAAGCTTTGGCTAACTTTCTCAAAAATCTCTTATAATGAGCAGATGTTATCATTCTTGGGCTCTCCAGAGAGCCATCAAGGTAAATGCTTTCAGCATACTAAGTAAACTATTGTCATGTCCTTTGTTCTTGAACAATCCACTTTTGCATTGACTTAACAACTTCCATTCTTGGTAGCCATTGCTTTGATTATGTTTTTGTTTTCAGGATCATACTGGTAAACCATGTTTTATCTCTTGTTACAGTTATTTGAAAAAATTCTCAAGGATCTTGACCATATTTATTTAAAATTTCAATGAAAGTCTCCACTATTGACTGTGGCTAATCTTGGTGTAATAGCTTTGGCACACATCACGTGGAAAGTTTGCTGAACTTTAATTTTTTTGATAGAATTGTGTACGCTGAGCCAATTGAAATGTCTATGCTGTGGGTTACAGTTTGTGTTGTTAATCATCTGTTCTTTTCAGTTAGGGAATTATAAAGATTACTTTTTCCTTTGGAAATTAATGTTGATGATGTGCTACTGCAGAATTCATTTTCAACATTGTCTTACCCCTTCTTAAAATGAGTTATCTATCTGTAAACTGCTGATTTCTATGGGGCATTGCCCCCATAAACTTTTAATAAAGCATTATTTCCCCATTCTTCCACCCAAATTTCATGTTTATTCTTGCTTCAATTTTAGCAGAATTTGTGCTGCTCTGATAGGAGCCTTTTCAGAGTGATGTCTTATTTTGTTTAGTGCCTCAAGTTAGATCCCGTTTAGTTGTGTTATAACAAGTATATATGAGTTTATTTTGATGGAAAACATTTTGAAGCCCATACTTTTTTTTAATAATACACATTTTTTGTGAACTTTTCAAATGAACCCTTGTACATTATCTTCAGAAAGAAAATAATACTCAAATTAATTATTATAGCACAATCCAGGCTTTATTCAACATTTTAAATTGCTTATATCTACAATTAGTTTCATAGTGCTTAGAAATTGACATGTAATAATTTAACCCAGAATACATACTAACTGCATGTGGGTTAATTTAACAACTTGATGTATTTTAACCAACTTTTTCTTTTTGCATTTTATGTTTGTACATATATTTAGTTGAAAGTCATATGTTGTGTTATAAGTCATGTAAAAATAGAAATACACTTTATCATTGTTATCCATGGAGGATTGGTTTTGGGACCTCCATGGGTACCAAAAACTATAATACTCATCTCTTACATAAAATGGTATATTTGCATATAACCTAAGCACATCCACCAGTATACTTTAAATCATCTTCAGATTATTTATAATACCTAGTATAATTTAAATGCTGTGCAGTTTTGAAGTTTAAGCCCCATTGTCTAGTTTTCATTTTATTTTATTTTTCTTGTGCTTTTGAGGTCTTAGTCATCAATTCTTTGCCTAGACAAATGTCCAGAAGTACTTTTTCCCTAGATTTTCTTCTAGGATTTTTATATTTTCAGGTCTTACATTTAAGCCTCTGATCCCTCTTAAGTTGATGTTTGTGAGCGGTGAGAGACAAGAGTCCAGTCCATAATTGTTGTATCAAGTTGTTTATGTAATAATGACAATAAAAAGTCTGTACATGTTCACTACAGATGGAAACATCCTTTTTTATTTTTGGAAAAATTTTGATCTGTAGTTGGTTGAATCCACAGATTTGGAAACCACAGATTTTGAGGACCAATTGTATATTCATTTACTAACATATAGTCCTCAGAGTACTTGCATTGATGAATAATGTATAGAATCATTAACCTCAACTATGCATCTTTTTTGGGAAAAATTATTATCTTATGAAATATAAGCAAGCCCAGAGTCTCATGGGTTCTTAATATTCCCCATCAATATGTATTTCATAATATCAAGATTAATATGATTTCTAGCTTGAATGCATTATATAGTCACAATTCGAGACATCTATTTCAGATATATGGAATTTTACATTAAATTCAACAAAAGATAACCAACAGAGCAGTCTTTCATATTGACAATTTATAATTTTTACTTCATTTATTAACTTTATTCATAACTTTCTATTTCTTTCTATGCAGTTGCTTTTTTCCCTGGTAAAATCCAACATGTCTTTGAGTAAAAAAAGTTGAGATATGATCAACTTCTCTAACACTCCCATTTGCTAAAGTATTTTCCAAAGAAAGGCCTAAAGACTGTTTAATTATATTGTGCCTTCATTTTCTCATCTGTACAATACACCAGTTAATACTTAATGCTCAGGATTACTATTGGAATTAAATTACATATGTATTATTTAATTCTAATATATGTGTAACTTTAGTACAAAGCTTAATATGAAGAGTTCAACAAATGACAGCTTTAAAAACAGTTATACCTCAATATTTTAAAATCTATTATCTAGAATTCCAATAAAACTAGGCACATAAACAATATTTATTATTTGTATAAATTTAAAGGCTATAAGTGCAATTTTATTATATGATTATATTGTGTAGTGGTAAAGTCTTTGCTTTTGGTGTATGTATCACCTGAATAATGTACATTTTATTCATTAATTTCCCATCAGTCACCCTGCTTTTCTTCCTGCCATTCTGAGTTTCCAATAACTATTCCATATTCTATGTCCATATGTACACATTATTTAGCCCCCACTTATAAGTGATAAAATGCAGTCTTTGACTTTCTCTTTCAGAGTAGTTTCACTTGACTGTATGTTGTTGGAAAAGACATAATTTCATTCCTTTTTATGGCTGAATAATATTCCCTTTTCTGTATTCCATCATCCACTGGTATTTATATCAAAGTTTTTAATCCAATGCATACCACATTTTCTTATCCAATACCACATTTTCTTTATTCAGTCATCCATTGATTGACACTTACGTTGGTTCCATATATTTGCTACTGTGAATAGTGATGTTAGAAAGATACAGGTATAGGTATCTTTATGACATAATTCCTTTTCTTTTAGATAGATACTCAAGTACTGGGATTGCTGGATCAAATGGTAGTTCTATTTTTAGTTATCTGAGAAATCTCCATGCTGTATTCCATAAAGGCTACACTAATTGGTATTTCTACCAACAATGTATAAGTGTTCAATTTTCTCCACATCTTTGCCAGCATCTGTTATTTTCTGACTTTTTGATAACAGCCATTCTGACTGGTTTAAGATAACATTTCATTGTGATTTTAATTTGCATTTATCTGATAATTAGTGATGTTGAGCCCTTTTCCATATAGCTGTTGGCCATTTGTATGTCTCTATTTATGTCCTTTGCCTACTTTTTAATAAGGTTATTGTAAATTTTTTGTTGAATTATTTGAATTCCTTATAAATTGGTCCCATGTTGGATGCATACTTTGCAAATATTTTCTCCCATTTTGCAGGTTGTCTTTTCACTCTGTTGATTATTACTATTATTATTATTATTTGCTGTGCAGTTTTGAAGTTGAAGCCCCATTGTCGATTTTTCATTTTATTTTTTTTTCTTGTGCTTTTGAGTTCTTAGTCATCAATTATTTGCCTAGACCAATGTCCAGAAGTATTTTTTCCTAGATTTTCTTCTAGGATTTTTGTATTTTCAGGTCTTACATTTAAGCCTCTAATCTGTCTTGAGTTGATGTTTCTGTGTGGTGAGAAACAAGAGTCCAGTCCATTTATTCTTCTGCATATGGCAATCTGATTTTCCAAGTACATTTTATTGAAAAGATTGTTCTTTTCCCGGTGTATGTTTTTGTTGACATTGTCAAAGATTAATTGGCTGTAAAATGTGGCTTTATTTCTAGGTGCTCAGTTCTGTGTCATTGATCTATGTGTCTATTTTTATACTAGTACCTTTCTGTTTAGTTACTATTGCCTTGCATTATAATTTGAGGTTAGGTAGGGATGTTTTCAGCTTTCTTTTGCTTAGGATTGCTTTCAATATTTGGGCTCTTTTATTTGGTACCATGAGAATTTTAGAATTGTTTTTCCTAATTCTGTGGAAAATAACATTGGTAATTTGATAGCAATAGTATTGAATATGTAAGTTGCTTTGGGCAATATGGTCATTTAAATGATATTAATTCTTTTGATCCGTGAGCATGGGATGTTTTTCCATTTGTTTTTGTGTCATCTATAATTTCTCTCATCAGTGTTTTGTAGTTTTCCTTGGGGAGGTCTTTCACCTCCTTGGTTAAATATATTCCTAGTTATTTTATTTTTTTTAGTTATGAAAATATGAGTGCCTTCTTGTTTTGGTTCTCCATTTAATTGTTATTGGTATATAGAAATATTACTGATTTTTCACATTGATTTGGTATCCTGAAACTTTAGGGAATTCATTGATCAAATCTGAGTTTTTTGGTGGCGTCTTTAGGGTTTTCTAGATAAAAGATCATATTGTCCGTAAACAGGGATAATTTTACTTCTTGTTTTCTAATTTGAATACTTTTTATTTGTTTCAACAACATGCTCTTGAAGAATCTTTGGGTCAACAACGAAATCAAGATGGAAATTTTAAAAATGTTTTAAATGAATAAAAATGGAAACAATACCAAAACCTCTGGAATACAACAAAATCAGTGCTAATAGGGAAGTTTGTATCATTAAATGCCTACATCAATTACATATTTGAAGATTTATAGGTTATTACAGGTTATATAAATTTATAAGTTTTCTTTATGGTATTAACAGAAGTTTTAATTTGTTATATGGTAACTATTATTTTGCAAACATACTTTGGAAAATGTTTCAATTTAATATTCTGAAAACAATCCTGGAATCTACAGCCTACTATGTGACTGAATAGGCTTTGTAGATTGAGGTCTCTTTTAACTTTAATACTTATGGAAATAGAGAATAGATGTCAATTGATTGAGTTCCAAGGCACTGATTGGTTTGCATGTGTTAGAGGATAGAGCCACTGTCTCCTGATGTTTAAACCTCTCCCTGCCACACACAAACTCTTCTACTTTCTTTTTCTTTGTGTTTGATAAACTGATGCATTGCCTGTTTTTCTGGCAAGCTCTATTTTATTTCTCTCTCTTTTTTGTTATCTGCCTTCTTGTAGTATTATTATATTTCTTATTACATATTACATACATAAAAATTGAGAAATACTGTGCCTCCAAACATTTGGTTTTATTACCTTTCTAATACTTTTAAATTTTATAGTTTAATACTCCCATTCTTAGTACATTTTAATGCTATAGTTGCCTAGAGTATAATTTATATTAAAACTACTTTTGCCCTTGGAACTTGAACAACTTACCAGTTTGTATATCAGACTCATAGCAGAGACATACAGCTAGAATAAAATATGAAATGGTAAGGTGAGGTGGTTCTTACTTGCATCAATAGCCATCGTTTTAATATTACACCTGGGAATAGGCTTTAGGTAGTACTATACATAGTCCACACTTCCTAATAATTCCAGTGTGTATTTGGAAGCCCATCCTGCCAGCAAGTGATTTTAGGGGAATAAAAGTCAGGACTATAATATAAATAATTTAACAAAAACCCCAGTCATATATGTGGGTCTGTGAATGTACTCATTATTAGGACTTGGATGAGCATGAAAATAAACATGAGTGACTACAACAGAAAAAAGAGAGAGGAAAAACAGCCTCAACCATAGTGCTGTGATTGTGCCATTTAATTGTACTACCTTTTCTAAAGTAAGTGGCCCAAAACTTATTTCGAAACTATAAATAAATAAATATAATTCATTCCATAACTACACCTGTCAAAACACTCAATCCTTGATTTATTAGCAATGAGGCTATGGAAATAATTATTATTATTTTTGAAATTTCAGGAACATAGAATCCATTGGTTTCATATGTGTTTTTATCACATGAAATTTGCACATAGTTTGGGGCTTTTGGAGTTTAATTATGTAGGCCTTGCTCTTTGGTGGAAAACTACCTGATGCACCATTTTTAAATACAGAGTTTATCCTATTTTATTTTCCTTTGAAGGGAATTACTTTCCTATTTTATATGATTAAGAATATGGGCTCTTACTTTTCTTGTTAATATCGGAAAGGGTAGGCTAACCTGCAGATATTTGCTTCTCTGGTTTAATGCTGCTATTTTCTGTGCTTTTTTTTCACTGGCTGATTTCTTTTCCTAGCAAGCACTTTTAAACATTTTGGGTAACTGAATTTCTTGAGTAATTAATGATAGTCACATTCCACTTGGAAAAGTAAATGCTAATCCTTACCCATGCTTAAAGTACCCCCACCCTTTGTTTAATGTTCTGTGGTTGCTGTGTTATAATAAATATTTTTATTTTAAAAAGGAGATCAACATTTTCATTTTGCATTGGTACTCACAAATTGTGTAACTAGTCCTGATTTCAGGAATCTCTACAATGGGTCCCAGCCATGAGTATTTTGAAAAACGTCCCATTGGTTTAGATGAACATTCCTTATTATGCAAAAGCAAGTATCTATACTTAGATAGATCGCTAGATAGATACTTGTTGTGTAATATTGGCTCAAAATATAGGCTCAAAATATTGGTATAAGCATACTAGTGTATCCACATATAATCCTGTAAAAGAAAAAAATACCCTATAAACATAAAGTAACACATTTATAAATGCATGCAAAAAAGAATTTAGGCATTAATTGACAAGAAATTTTAAGAAGTAACTAAAAGATAAATATGTGGAGAGAAACAAACCCAGGAGAATCTACAATTCTAAGCCTATGATGGGGTAAATGGCCGCTGAATTGGTCATGAATTTCAAGCTACAAGTTCTCTGAAAGAAAGAAGAGTCACTCTATGATTGGTGAGTTTGTATATTATCCCAGGTATGGCAAATGGGGAAATATGCTGCTCATATCTACTGCTGCAAGAAACATTGTTGACTCACAGCTCTGCTGTTGTCCTCCTGGGTTCACAAATGTGTCTGGGCTGAGGGAATATTTTCTGCAAGCTGCTTGCAGCTCATGTCTGAGCATAGCAGGGGTATTAGGCCCATTCTTGCCTAGGGCAGGACTCCTCCAGCAGATGACACTGTCTTAAGGACCTTCCATCAACCTTGTGAAATCTTTCTTAGAACTGCGCTGCAGTATGTGATCCACCTGTCTCTTCCATTTGCCTTCCATCTCTCTCCTCCGTTATTGTTAGACCTGCTTTGCACTTTTTGGACTTCACTTTATCTAATTCCTTCCACAGTATCCTTCACAGGTATTTTCCTCAATAAATTACTTGAATGTCTACTCCTGAGTGGGTAGTTGCTTCTCTGAGGTAGCTAGTTATTGAACTTCAAGAAACAAAGGGAGCCTCTCTCCTCCAGGAAAAAAAAAGCTAATCTCTTAAATTATTAGACTACCATTAAAAAGCCATAATTCACATACATAAAATAATAGAAGATGAAGAACTACAGTGCATTTGAGGAAAATCAATAAATATATAACACAAGTTTCAGAATTTATGCCCTAATAGTTCAAAAAGAAAGAATAAAAAGGATGGAAGAAAATAATATAGAGCATAGTCCCAAAAGTATGAAAAAATGAAAATGCAAAAATAAAACAGCTTCAAACAAATTTCTAAAAGCCTATAAAAAGTAAAGAAAATTCTTAAAATTCCTGAGAAAGAGAGAAGAATGAGCAACATATTGACCGTAGAATTGACACAGGTATTCTGATCACCAAGAACAAACTAAACCCAAAACTGGCAGAAGGAAGGTAGTAATAAAGATTAGTACACAGACAAATAAAATAGACATTAACAAATAATAGACAAAATTAAAAGTTCTTCAAAATATCAACAACATTGACAATTAGGCATATTGCCATAGACAAAAAAGAGACAAGACCCAAACTGTTAAAATCAGAAAAAAAAATGGAGACATTAGTACCATTTTATAAAACTAAGAAGGATCATGAGAGTGTACTATGAACAGTTGTATGCCAACAGATTGGATAGTTTTCTTAGTTTCTTTGTGCTTCTATAACAAAATACTAAATATTGGGTTATTTATAAATCATGGAAATTTATTTCTCATAGTTGTGGAGGCTGGGAAGTCCAAGATCAAAGTACTGGCAGGTTCAGTGTCTGGTGAGGGCCGAGTCTGTTTCAAAGATTGCACCTTGAACCCTGTATCCTCACATGGCAAAACAAAGGGGAAAAAAGGAAGCTGCTATTTCTCTACAGCCCTTTTTTCAAGGGACTAATCCTATCCATGAGAGCACAGCCCTCCTGGCCTAATCACTCCTTAAAGGCCTCACTTCTTAATACGGTTGTAGTGGAGATTAAGATTCAACATTAATTTTGGAGGGGCAATATTCAAATGATAGCAGTAACCTAGATGAAATAGACATATTCCTAAAAGCACGAAACCTATTAAAACTCAGTCATGAGTAAATAAAAACAACTTGAATATACCTACAACTAATAAAGAGATTGAATCAGTAATTTAAAATATCCCAACCAAGAAAAGGACTACATGGCTTCACTAGTAAATTTTAGAAAGCATTTAAAGAACTAACACCACTGCTTCTCAAACTCTTCGAAAAATTTAAAGTGGAGGAATATTTCCCAACTCATCTTAAGAGGTGAGAATTACCCTCTTACCAAAGCCCAACAAAGATGCTACGAGAAAACTAGAGACCAATGCTCCTGATTAATATTGATGCAAAAATCCTCATCAAAATAGTAGCAAAATCCTGCAGCATCTTAAAATAATTATACCTACTCACCTATTGGGATTTATTCCTGGGACACAAGAATGCTTCAACATATGAAATTAAATCAATTTAGTACATTATGCGAACAGAATGAAGGGGGAAATAAATGATATGATCATCTCAATTGATGCATAGGAAGTATTTGACAAAATTTACCACTCCTTTACAATAAAATCACTGAACAATATAGAAATAGAAACAACTACCTCAAGGTAATAAAGGGCAACCCAAAGTGAACATTATACTCAATGATTAATGACTGAAAGCTTTCTCCTCTAAGATCAGGAACAAGACAGAGTATGCTCACTTTCTCCACTTCTATTTGATATTGTATTGGAAGTTCTAGCCAAAGTAATTCAGCCATAAATAGACATAAAAGGCATTCAAATTGAAATGGAAGAAGTAAAATGATCTGTTTCCAGATGATGACAGGAGATTATATTTAGAAAACAGTCAATAATCAATACACACACACACACACACACACACACACACACACACACACAAGAACTATAAACAAATTTGACAAAATTGGAGGATACAAAATTAGCATGCAAAAATCACTTCCATTTCTATACATTGCCAATAAACAATTCCAAAAGGAAAAGCAAATAACTTCATTTATAACAGCATTGAAAAGAACAAAATATTGAGGATTTAATTTAATCCAGGGGATGAAAGACTTGTACACTGAGAATTATGAAACGTTGCTGAAATTAAAGACAAATAAATGGAAAAGTCTTCTGTGTTCTTAATACTATTAAGATATCAATACTTTGGGAGGCTGAGGTGGGCTGATCACGAGGTCAGGAGATCGAGATCATCCTGGCTAACACAGTGAAACCCCGTCTCTACTGCAATTACAAAAAAAAAAAAAAAAAAAAAAAGACAAAAAACAAAAATTAGCCGGGTGTGGTGGCAGGCACCTGTAGTCCCAGCTACTCGGGAGGCTGAGACAGGAGAATGGTGTGAACCTGCGAGGTGGAGCTTGCAGTGAGCTGAGATCATGCCATTGCACTCCAGCCTGGGCAACAGAGCCAGATACCATCTAAAAAAAACAACAACAAAAAAACACACACATATCAGTACTAACCAGAACAATCTACAGATTCACTGCAATTCTTATTAAAATCTCAGTGAAATTTTTTGCATGCATTGAAAAATCTGTCCTAAAATTCATATGGAATCTCAAGGGATTTCAAATGATCAAAACAATTTTGAAAAAGGACGAAGTTGGAGGACTTACATTAATGAAAATGAAACAAATATAGGAAATATTGAGCAAAGAAACTGTACAAATTAATGTTAATTCTATATGATTGCTAATCTGTAATAAAAATATTTTAAAAATGTTTTTTTAAATTACAAAATTTAAAAGATAAAATTACTTTGACATGGAACTAAATTTACAGAATTTCTCACTTTGGGGATGGCAAGGTTGTAAGATACAAAGGGAAAATGTAAAAATATATAGAACTATAGTTACCTATAAAATTATAAATTGAAGTTTGTTTTTTTCTTAAATACAGAGTTTAGACTTTTTTTGTGTGTTGATATTACCCTTTTTTAATTTTATTTTTTTCGGAGACGGAATCTCGCTCAGTCGCCCAGGCTGGAGGGCAGTGGCGCAATCTTGGCTCACTGTAAGCTCCGCCTCCTAGGTTCACGCCATTCTCCTGCCTCAGCCTCCCAAGTAGCTGGGACTATAGGTGCCCGCCACTACGCCCGGCTAATTTTTTTGTATTTTTAGTAGAGACGGGGTTTCACCGTGTTAGCCAGGATGATCTCAATCTCCTGACCTCGTGATCCGCCCGTCGTGGCCTCCCAAAGTGCTGAGATTACAGGCGTGAGCCACCGCTCCCGGCCGGTATTACTCTTATTCTTGAAGACGTGTCTGTTTGTGTCTAAGTCTGTGTAGTTATGGATGGTTGAGTGCCTGCGTTTTCTTGGTAGGATGATTTTTCATAAAAAATACAGAAAAAAATAAATAGGATAGCGAGCCGATATTCCCTTTTGTCCTTGACCTGAATAAATAGTTAAAAATGAAGCAAAATAGGGCTAACTTTGTTTACACATGGTAGATTGTTACTTTACCTATTATGATGTTATTTAAAATAGGATAAATCAGAATTCAATAAATTTGTTTTTATTGAAATATTGTTCTCTGAAGTACTTTTTAGGGCCCAAGGCAAGTCAACAAATCTATGAACAGAGAGAAAGTGCAAGAAGTATGATTCTAAGGCAAAAAATAAGGCATTAATTTTTCTGTTGCTCTGCACCATCCAGGAGTTTTCCTGGGTTTTGGACACCTATGGAAAACTCTCATTACTTTGTTATGAATTGGCTTTGCCATTGCTGCATGACAAGAGTCATGAAGGAATAGGATCCTTACACCAAGACGGAAAAAATATGGTGTAAGAGTCACATAGTAACTCTTTCAAAGTACTTTTTGTTTTGCTTTTCCATTTTTTCAGTCTTTCACAAATTTCTAGGAAATGTGTAGCCTATTTGGTCAGTGTTGTATTGTGGGGAGGAAAAAGTCTATATCATAATTGGAGAGGGATGGCAATACATTTACTTACCACCTCCTCAATGCTAAGAAATGACATAGACTCTTCAGATCTGGCTGGACTTTAATTTCTCTCAACTTGCATAAACTTTGAATATCTCATCACTTGTTTCTTAAATGTAATTTTCATTTTTCATTCATCATATTTTCAATTTTTTTCTTGTCTCCCCAATTGATTATGATTACTTTGAGGTCAGAGATACTGTCTTTTCAATTTTGTATCCAAAAAACCTATAATTTACTCAATATCCAAGAAAGTTTCTGACATATCTATAGAAGCGTAATGATTATTCTCTGAGTGAATAGATAAATTCATATAGTTGAGCAAATAGCACACAGGAAAAATATTTTATAACTGAAAAAGTTGACGCAGTCAAAGAAAACACTTTGAACCATGTGTTTTTAGCACAGGCATGAAGAGAAGAGCATTACTAAATGTCCCTTATTCTTAGAACACTTTGAGAAAACACATAGGAGTCGAGGAAAGATAGATGTCAAACTCCAGTACAGTGTTCTAAACCCCTGGCTTTGGAGTTTTTATTTTAAGTTCCGGGGTACATGTGCATGACGTGCAGGTTTGTTACATAGAGAAACGTGTGCCATAGTGGGTTGCTGCACCTATCAACCCATCACCTAAGTATTAAGTCTAGCATGCATTAACTATTTTTTAGGTAAATACCAGTATTTTCAATGGTATAAAGAACTGGCAGAATATTGGCCAACAACCCTGTTTCGCTCCTGCAAATTTTACTACATGAGCAAATGTCAAAGCCTTCACTGATATGATCAGGGGGACATGTTCATAATATGTGGTTGCAACAACACAATGTTGTAGAAGCATGACTTCCTGTCCTATTTTACCACTTCAACATTTATAATTCAGGGATTGTAAGTCGCTGCCCTGGTTCATCAGGAGACTAATGTACCAGTCTTCTCATTGCAGTTATATAGCATCGTGCATTGCTTACTCCCTTTCTGGAAGACCAGCATGCAGAATATAAATCTCTGATGGTTAACTTCCATCTCCCAGATATTTACAAGCACTTTGATTCAGACTTAGGAAATCAGATAGTCTTTTTCTTTCAGTTAAATTTATGTGAGAACCTAATGATTCACTTGTAATAAAGTAAATAATTATCTCTGAAAAATTGTTAGTGAAATTGAATTTAGCTATGTTTATTGTAGGAGGGATGATGATATATAAGGTACAGTTAAATTGAAAGTGCTCTGAATAAATCTGGAAAAGAAGCTTACTTTTAAAGTGAAGAAATTAAAAATCCCTCAAAGGAACTAGAAAATCCTTCTCTGAAATGCCGTAGCTTTGATAGCACCAAAGGACTCATTTGGTTAGTCCTTAATGATCATTACGTTTCCTAGAAAATTGCCATTCAAAATAGATTAGACCGAGTCTCAATTTTAAGAGGCATACAAATAACAAAAGAATTTTATTAAAATATAGTTTTTTATTCAGTATATATGGATGGGACTGAGAAGCTGTCATTATAACAGACTCTGAAGTAATTCTAATGCTACTCATACTTGGACCATGTAGCAAATAATAAAGAGAGAGAAAAAAGTACTCTATATTCCTAAATTCATTCAAAATGTCTTCTCAAAAAACAATGTTTTGTAAGGTTTACATTTAAGAAACGCAAATGATGGGATGGGGAAATGGAAGCATGTTGCTTAAAGCTTGTTACATTATATGTGAAGTGGTATAATATTATTGAAGTTAGACTGTAATAATTTAATGATATATATTATAAATCCCATAAAAATTGTTTAACAATAAAAAATTAAAACAAGGTATAGCTAATAATAAAGATTAAAAATTTGCTGTGAAACAGTTCTCAATCCTCGAGAATGCACCCATATAAAAATTGTAAAAATGAGACAGTATAATCAATAGGAAATGGTAGTATTAATTCTTATATAAATATATTTATGAAACCAGTTTTAACATTCAATAAAATGTCAGGTATCATCAAGTAGAGTATAAACAGGAGATCCAGCAAAATGGTTTCTACAAGAAGGACATTTTACTAGAAAGGTATGAAACTTGAAAAAAAAATCCACTAACTACTAAAACATTAATTTTTAGAAAGCTGTATTAATAATAATGTGGGATTTGGAACAAGTAATTTACTAAAGATATATTTTATGACCACAATGTCATTTCATAAAGAAGTCATTGTCATTTAAAATGTATCTACATCTAATTTTAAGGCTTCAGAAAATACAAGACAAAATCTGACAGAATTAAAGGAAGTGACAAATCGACAAATGAAGATTTTATCACTCTTCTCTTAACAATTGATAACATTAAAGAGAATGTCAGTAGGAATAAACCAGAACAATAGTGTCAACTTTATCTTTATAGAACGTGAGACAAGCAATAGCAAGTGTACATTATTTTAAAGTGCTCATTGAACATTAACTGATGTAGATAAAATACTGAGCCATTAAACAAGTATCAGTAAGTTTTAAGTATTAAAATTATATACAGTATGTTATTTTACCAAAACAAATTTAAACCAGAGTCAGTTTAAAATTCACAAAGGGAATTCAAATACATTGTAAACTGAATGATAATGGAAACAGCATGTTTTAAAAAGGCTAATCTTTTCAACATTTGGTGCTGAAGTAATTGGATAACTTTGTAGAACATATGGTGTTCAAAATACTTGATTTTGAAATGAATTATAGACATAAATATAAAAGCTAAAATAATAAAGTATCTAGAAATAATATAGTAGAAAGCTTTTGTAACCCTGGAGAAAGTAAAGTTTTCTAGGAACAGAAAAAAGGGAAATACTGAAAAATTTGAGTTAATTAAAATGAAGTAATTCTAATTTTTAAAAGGCATCAAGAAAATGGAAACCTGGCCATGCGCGTGGCTGACGCCTATAATCCCAGAACTTTGGGAGGCCGAGACGGGTGTATCACTTGAGGTTAACAGTTCAAGACTAGCTTGGCCAACATTGTGAAACCCCATCACTATTAAAAATACAAAAATTACCCAGGCATGGTGGTGCACACCTGTAGTCCCAGTTACTTGGGGGCTGAGGCAAGAGAATCACTTGAACCTGGGAGGCGGAGGTTGCAGTGAGCTGAGATCATGCCTGGACTTAAAAAAGAAAAGAAAAAAAAAAACGTAAACCACAAAACCATAACCGACAGAAAATATTCAACACACATATATCTCAGAAAGTTCTTGTCTTTAGAGTATATCAATAACTCTGAGAAGTCAAGGATAAAAGACTAACAACCAAAAAAGGGGGCAAAATTAATTGCAGACATACTTTACAAAACCATACTTAAGATTATTCAATATTATATGAAAAAATGCTCAATATGTTCATAACTTCAAGTTAATACCACTTAAATTTCACTAGAATGGCGAAAAATAAAAACATGGTGGTACCATATGTTGGTAAGGATATGGAATTGGAACTCTTCTAAATTTGCTGATTGGTATATAAAATAGTGTAACCACATTGGAAAATAATTTTGCAAGTATCCTAAAATGATAATTATACACTCATATGACCTAGGAATGCCACAACTACAAATTTACTAGTATATGTATGTGTGTATAAATCATTATATACACATATACACAATATGTTTAGAAAATTCTAATTCCTGAATTTTCATAGCTAAAACCTAGAAAGAAGTCATGTCCATCAATAGGTGAGTGAATAAGAACAAAAAACCTGGGGTATAATTATCCAGCAAGGAAAACTACTTAGCAATCAAAAGTAATGAACTTCTGCATCACACAACAACATGGATGAAAATCCAAAGATTTTGTTGAGAGAAGCTAGAAGAAACGAACATGTATTATATAGTTTCATTTATATAAAACTTGAGAACAGGCAAAATCTAGATCAGGCAAATCTAACCTATAGCAATAGAAATCAGATCAAAATCAATGGTTGCAGGAGGTGGTAGCTGGTGGGTTTATAAGATTATATTAAACAGAGTTAACAAACTTTTGGGGAGATGGAAATGTTATATATCTCTATTGAGATAATGGTTGTATGGGTGTATGTATTTGTCAGTGTCATCGATCCAGACACTTAAATGATAGATTTTATTGTTTCTATGACATTTATTAGAAAAATATTATAATTGCTCATTATATGTTTATACTGTCTTTTCGTTGAGTGAACATAAAAACCTCATGACTGCATCTAAAGCTTAAATTGAAAGCGTGCAACATCTTTCAAAGTCTGGTTTTTTAATATCACTTTCAAAAATGTTTTTGTAAATTTAAATAATGTATTATTCTATTTTTTTGGTTTCTCTTTTTAGCACTCTTATTTATCCCAGTAAACCTCTATTTTATTTCCTATGTTCTCTCCAAATAAATTCATTTTCCTTCTCTTTTTTCATCCTATTTCTTCATTTATCAATTTTAATATACAATGGTAAGATATTTTTATTGTCTGTATTATTTTATGATATATTGATTGAATCTAGCAAAATAGTGCTTGTTCTTTAAGAAGTAGATGCGTGAACCTTTAATTATTTTTCATTATTCCTTCAAAAATAATCCCTTCCATAACATTTTATTTTGTGGCCTTTTAAATTTCCTGTAGGTAGTAGCTCTTATTAGGTATATATATATATATATATATATATATATATATATATATATATATCTCATTTAATAAAATTATTAATGATATATTTGTTAAAATTTAAGAAACCAATCGAACAATTCCCAAGTTCATACATTCTTTTATTTTCTATTTTAATAAATACTAACAAAGCATTTGATAAGCTAAGACAAAATTAAAACTTCTCTGTCCTTTAAATATACAATTATTTCTTCATGAAAAGCAACAAATCAAGCACACAATTCAGCTTAATGAAAGTAACTCCTTCACATCCCTTGTAAGTTGGATTCCTAGGTATTTTATTCTCTTTGAAGCAATTGTGAATGCGAGTTCACTCATGACTTGGCTGTCTGTTTGCCTGTTATTGGTGTATAAGAATGCTTGTGATTTTTGTACATTGATTTTGTATCCTGAGACTTTGCGGAAGTTGCATATCAGCTTAAGGAGATGTTGGGCTGAGACAATGGGGTTTTCTAGACATACAATCATGTCATCTGCAAACAAGGACAATTTGACTTCCTCTTTTCCTAATTGAATACCCTTTATTTCCTTCTCCTGCCTAATTGCCCTGGCCAGAACTTCCAACACTATGTTGAATAGGAGTGGTGAGAGAGGGCATCCCTGTCTTGTGCCAGTTTTCAAAGGGAATGCTTCCAGTTTTTGCCCATTCAGTATGATATTGGCTGTGGGTTTGTCATAGACAGCTCTTATTATTTTGAGATACGTCCCATCAATACCTAATTTATTGAGAGTTTTTGGCATGAAGTGTCATTGAATTTTGTCAAAGGCCTTTTCTCCATCTATTGAGATAATCATGTGGTTTCTGGCTTTGGTTCTGTTTATATGCTGGATTACATTTATTGATTTGCGTATGTTGAACCAGCCTTGCATCCCAGGGATGAAGCCCACTTGATCATGGTGGATAAGCTTTTTGATGTGCTGCTGGATTCGGTTTGCCAGTATTTTATTGAGGATTTTTGCATCAGTGTTCATCAAGGATATTGGTCTAAAATTCTCTTTTTTGGTTGTGTCTCAATCCAAATGTCCAACAATGATAGACTGGATTAAGAAAATGTGGCACATATACGCCATGGAACACTACGCAGCCATAAAAAATGAAGAGTTCATGTCCTTTGTAGGGACATGGATGAAACTGGAAACCATCATTCTCAGCAAACTATTGCAAGGACAAAAACCAAACACCACATGTTCTCACTCATAGGTGGGAATTGAACAATGAGAACACATGGACACAGGAAGGGGAACATCACACTCCGGGGACTGTTGTGGGGTGGGGGGAGGGGAGAGGGATAGCATTAGGAGGTATACCTAATGCTAAATGACGAGTTAATGGGTGCAGCACACCAACATGGCACATGTATACATATGTAACAAACCTGCACATTGTGCACATGTACCCTAAAACTTAAAGTACAATAATAATAAAATAAAATAATAAATAAAAGTAACTCACTAAATTTCTGATAATTTTACATTGAGCCATTATTAAGCCATATTTTCTATCTTTCAATCAGTACAGAAAAGGCAAAGAGTTTATCAATCTTCTGAGGGAAGAAATGTTATGAAAGTCAATGTTCTTGCTTATGGCAAAGAAAAGAAGAAAATTCCAGCCCATGTCAAAATTTTATTGGTTTTATTTAAACAAATTTACACAAGGAAAATTAGCTCTTTTAGGAGAAAATGATTTTTGTTCATCTCTTACACAGTCAGTGACTTTAGCTGAACATATTAATAGAAAGATTACATTGCCTTTGCCTACTTCTCTAAATTTCTTTGCTCTGGAATTTAACTTCAGAGATTATGCAAGGAGTGAGTTTCCTAAATTAAAACCAGTTGTTAGAAAAGAGTTTTATTAGGTGATATTACAAAAATAATTTAATTTGTATCTTTTCATGGCTAGCATCTCTTTTTTAATATTGCATATGCTAGAAACATCTGGGAATCTGTTGAAGATTGATTATCACAATGAATATTTCAGCAATGTGTTGGTCTTAAAGAAGGTACAAGCAGACATATTATGCCATAATATTGAAAAAAAGAGTGACAGTGACAAGCAGAGTTTTGAAGACTGTATGTCACAACTTAGAGCAATCAACATGTCAATAGAATTAAGACAATTTCTTGCATTTGAGTTCAATGTTTAAATATGTTTTATGAAATGAGGAAATTAGTCTGAAAATTGACTTAAGAATGTCCCGATTAAAAAAAAAAAGGTCAACCAAAGATGAAGTATAATATATTGAAAATATTGCAGCTACTTTCAATACCCTGCACTTACCTTTCCTTACTAGCCTTTTTAGTATGTGCTGATGGTTTCTTTCCTAATAGCAGCTCTGACACTTTGTCTGAGGACTTTGTTCTCACAAGCTTATGGGAGTATCATCACTTCTGTTGCAATCAACTGGCCCTCTCAGATTTACATTATAGGTTACATTTTTTGATGGGAAGAGATTCAAAGACACAATGCAAGTGTGGATATAGAAGGTGGGGAAAACTGAAACTGATTTAAAACCATGCTATCAAATCCAATCTCTAACCACAACAACTCATGAATCTCCAACAGCTGAATGTGCTCGGCTCCATCTCAGAATTCCCTGAAGTCATGTCCAGTTATGACAAAAGTCTCAGTGAACCTGCATATCATGGTCTACATCAGATCTGAATATAGTTCTTCAGGTATGGCTCCTTCTGATTTAGACACCTGTAAACTGAAAAGACAAGTTCTTTTCCCCGTATTTTAATACTCTATATACAATAGTGAGGTGTGAACAGAGTAACAGCAGTAAACTCCCACTCGGAAAGCCAAGCAGAGGGAAGCACTTGTCACTGATCCTGAGCAGTCCTAAAATTTTACTAGCCAATATCATCTGGTCTCTTTTCTTGGGGCGGTGGGCAGGGTGGGGGGCAGTTAATAGGCCTTGGTTAGGCCCCTGCACCTTTGAAGTGTCCCTCAGTTGTTCTCCAGGGTTCTTGGCTCCACTGTCTGGGATATCTTTCCTTTTCTACCTTGACCACTTTTAAAATGGAATTGGGAAATAAGCCTTTTGAGAAAGTTTTTCTACTTTCTTCTAGTCTATAGAAAAAAAAAAGTTAGATATGAGAAACTGTTTTATTCTCTAACTCAGTAAGCTCTGACCCCTCTATATTTCTTTTAAATTATATTTGTAATTTGGGCAGTTTCTCTTTAAATCTGCTGTGTATTTTGGGACAAAAGAATATGAGAATACAGGTTGAGCATTCCTAATTTGAACATCGAAAATCTGAAATCTGACATGCTCCAAACCCTGAAATGTTTTGAGTGTCAACGTGATTCCACAAGTGGAAAATTTTACACATAAGTATTTAATACAAACTTTTTATGCAAAAAATCATTTTAAATATTGTATAAAGTTACCTTCAGACTATGTATGTAAGATTTATATGAAGGATACATGAATTGCATGTTTAGACTTGGGTCCCATCCTCAAGGTATCTCATGCATATGCAAATATTCCAAAATCTGAAAAAATATCAAAAGCCAAAATACTTCTGGTCCCAACCATTTTGCATATGGGATACTCAACCTGTTCAAACAACTAGACGCTACTTTGAACATTCTGCTTCAAAATTTTATTGCTCAATTTCAAAAGATCACTGAATATATTTCCTATATTTTATTTTATTTTATTTTATTTTATTTTTTGAGATGGAGTCTCGCTCTGTCATGCAGGCTGGAGTGCAGCGGCGCGATCTCCGCTCACTGCAAGCTCCGCCTCCCGGGTTCACGCCATTCTCCTGCCTCAGCCTCCCGAGTAGCTGGGACTACAGGCGCCCGCCACCGCGCCCGGCTAATTTTTTGTATTTTTAGTAGAGACGGGGTTTCACCTTGTTAGCCAGGATGGTCTCGATCTCCTGACCTCATGATCCACCCGCCTCTACCTCCCAAAGTGCTGGGATTACAGGCGTGAGCCCCCGCGCCCGGCCTCTATATTTTAAAATACAATAAGTGACTGCATTACAAATTGTTTCAGCACAATAAAATATGAGTGGCCATTGTTTTAGTACTTTTATCTAGGACCTACGTACTGCCCAAAGCCAATGTCTTTTATTTTATGTTTTGCTATAATAACACTTCTTTCTAGATCCTAATTTTATATCAGGTAGCTGTTGCTTTATGACAACCAACCACAAAACTTATCGACTTAAAGCAATTTCTTTGTGTTACATTCTAGTTTAATTTGTGTAAAATGTGCATTTGTTATCAGATTATCATAAATGTTTTTGTGTAATGTAAAAAAAGTGGTTCAACATACCAGTAGAGCTAATAAGATATAAAGAATTGGCTAAAGGGAATATACCAATAACTATTAGTATAAGGCTAGTAACCAATATTAAGAAGATAACATGAAATTCTGGTTTTATTTCTTTTCCTGTTATTTATATATATATATGTGTATGAACACTCACAATCATATTGTATGTGTGTGAATTATAGTGGTAGCAGACGGGTGTCAGATTCCAGGGTAACATGTTAATTATAATAATAATGGAGCAGCATACAGTTCAAGGAAAAGTGTATTTTGCAAATGAATTGATCCTACTATGATTTCTCTTTTCTCTTTGGTAGTAATGGGGAAACCGGAGAGAATAAAACTTAGATTCTAGACCTGACCAATTTTTTGAGTTTATATTATTTGTCTACAATTTGGGCTAAATCCTGAATTATTTCCTGGCTATAAGAAGTCTCTACAGAAAAACTGGGTTTTAATTTTCTTCATGATGCTTTTAGTTGGCTCCCTAATGGAAGAAGTTCTTTTTTATTGTTGTTCTGGCATAAAAAAAGTTTGATTGTAATCCTTGTGTGCATTACATTTCCACTATTCAAATTATTAATATTATAGATATTTCACTGTTTTACTTCTGAGAAAACCAAAGTCATGGGTGGTGTTTCAAAGATTAGAGATTATTCAACAGAGCCTGTCAATCTCTCACATTTGGAAACCCACTGGGTTTTTCATTGCCAACACACTGTCACTAAAGCTATAGGATATGAAGCATCTTCCTTAAATGCTCAGGGACAATTGTGGAAGAGGAGGGTGCATGAGGTTGTAAAAGCTAGATTGAGGGGGGTGGAGTATGGAGGCCAGAGCAACTCTATCTTGAATGCTCATCTACCATGTTGACTTCTGAGTAATTCCAGTTCCAGGAAGGCCTCTAAGATTTCTACTTTTATCAACTCTTCTTGTATAAGAGCATGTGTTTACTGTAAATCCTGCCCTTAGGTCAAAACAACCTTTATGTTATCATATTTACCATAAATCCTGCACTTAAGCAATTGTCCTACATAAACCTTTCCCTATGGCATATAAATCCTGGGTCTGAAGGATCATGACACAGGGATCTACCATCTTGTCTTGTCACTCCCCAAGACCCAGACATGGCTTCTGTTTGTAAGCCCTTATTTAATGTTTCTTTCCAGAAAAAAAAGTATTGATAGTGAATATTTAATATAACTACTTGTAATACTAAGATCAAAATAAAGATGAAGACAAAGATTAAAAAGTTAAATGTAATGTCTTCTCGTGAAGTAGAAATAATGAACATTAAAAAAAAAAATGACAGGTAAATAAACCTTGAAAGAGGATGATAGTATCTGCTCACTGCTGCAAAGACGAAATGAAAGATGCAGATAGTAAAGTTGAGAGCACATTGATTATTGATTACATGAGATTTTATATATGTATATATATGTATACACACACATATCCTGCAGTTTCACAAAATGTACATAGAAACTTATATCAGGAAAAAGAGAATATCTAAACTCTTCAAAGACTGTCAGTTGAAGATAAGACTGATACCAGGTAAACTAAAATACTATCCTTTCCTTCTATTTTAGAATTGGAATTTGTGAAAGCCAGGTGATACCTGAAATCCTGGCCAAACTCCATTCTAAAGTTATGCCATTTTCCTGATTGTTTCTTCAGTCATCATGTGAATAATTCATTTGAAAATATTTAGATACTTTTCAGAAACTTAGTACTCATTCCCTGGTCTACGAAGACATTGTTGAAAGTGCAGATAGAAGACCCTGAAATCCCTCTCTTTAAAGCCCAGCCAAGATTGTACATCAGTAGCAATACTGCATCCCAGGGAGGATTTTAGAGATTATCACCACTCCACAAGAGGAAAGGAGGTAAAGTGGGTGGTCCCATCATATCTCCATTCAATTCTCTATTTAGTTCCTTTAAAATCCAAATGGATCATGGAGTATGGATACTATGCTTAATGTGGTATATGTACAGAAACAAATCAATAGCCTCTGTTCTTTAATATGTGCCTATTGACTTGGCAAATGCCTTATTTTCCATCATTAAAACTAGTCAAATAAGTTCCCTATTACTTAGGCAGTAAAGTGATGAACATTATGTATTTTGCCTCGGGGACAATAGAGTTCGTGATCATTTTTAAATTCTGTGCATGTGCAGTACAGTGACGCACTGTAGTAATGAAATGAAAGGTGAACACGGTGTATATAAATTGGCAAATACTCTGGGTGACCTTTAAAATATGTGTGCTAGAAAGTGAATATATAGGTAAGAAATAGCAAAGATGCCCGAATATTCTGCAGGAAAATCATGCTTTGGGAATTTATAAAATAACAGCCATTTGGAGAAGAGCCCTTGAAATAATAATAGGCCTTTGTAGAGGCTGAGCACCTGACTATTGGTTGTTAACTGATGATGTGCCCAGGGCTGCACATGATAAATATAGTATTATCAATTTTCTGAGCTATCAGATCAAGTTGGTGAAACAGCAATGCATTTTATTATGGAAATAGTACATTTGAGATAATTTCTCAGTTATTTTAGGGAACATCAAAAATTTTCATAAGCAGTTGGCCCAGATTCATATCACCAATCTCTGTTGTAGAAACAGTCCTCCTTCAGAGTACATCAATTGCCTTATTAGAATTTCTCCATGACCAGTTTCTGGGGGATAAGACCACATTTAAGCCTGGTTGATAATGGATTGTCTTCATATATTGGTATGGTAGACTACTGTTTCACTCAATATATGGTCCTTTCATTCAGGTGTGGCCATAATAGTACAGAGTTGAGGAAAAATTCCCCATGTAAGTAGAGCTTTAAGTACTTTGGTTAGCCATTTATTATATGGAGAGAGAATAGTTTGAAGTGTGTGTGTGTGCGCGCACGTGCGCACGTGCGTGTGTAATTCTTTTCAGGAAAAATGGGCTGGTAGATCAGTAGTCTAGATGAAGGAAGTCTGAAAGATCAGAGATGAGAAAGTATGGAGAAGAGGTAAGTTAATGAACCTATGACAAAACGATATGAAATGTAAAGACGATTGTAGCTCACATTGTTTAGCATCAGAAAGCATGTTCCATAAAGGAGATATCTGACAAGCAGGTAGGCATGATAACCCAATCTGTGGATATAGAACATCCTTTGTCCTCAGCCTCTCCAGTGTTGGCTCAATGAGCCCATGAATGGAGTGCCCATGGTGGCAGTGATGATGAATATACATCGTCACAAAAGCATAAGATTTTCCTTCTCAGTTATGGAAACACATGTTGCTCAAAGCTCAGCCTGTTAGCAGTCAATTGCTTTGTATGATTCCAACCCTCAAGGAGACAAACTAGCTAGTTAATAGCAAACATTATATTATACCTCTCTCAAAACAAAGGAGGCAATTAGTCCTTAGTCAATTTGTAACCAGCGTTCAGTAGTCCTTGAAATGTTTGGGGATTCCCATTGATTTGATATACAGTTACATGAGTATATGGCCATAGGTCCCTTTGGGGAGAAATTAGGATAATTCCTATGTATACTTGTTAGGGAATTACAGAATCCTTCTTGGAGACATCATCTCTACTCTCAACGGTTCTTATTTTGAAAACTGGCTCAGGGCTGGAATATGAAAAGGGGTGACCCGTTACTGGGATTACCATGCTCAGTCTCCTAATCCTGTGTTATTTATTCCATTTGGTTAAATAGACTGAGCAATACATGTTATTATGTATACCCCAATAAATGTCATAAAAAGACTGTCCATCTAGGTCACTCCTTGGGGTGCTGTGTTCCATAAATCATATCCATAGCTTTCAGTGGGCCACGCACCCTGGCTGGCAATCAAACCTTGCTACTTATTATTATAATAGCACCCTGCTAACTGCTGATAGTCCAGTACTGCTACCTGACTTCTATTTGCAGATTTTGTTATCTCCATTATTATCAGTGAGCCACATTCTATAACAGCATGTTTTCCATGAACCCTTATTTATTGAGTAGAGCCACTACTTACCTTAGCTTCACAGTGATGCTTGTGTCTGTCTTGATGCTTTGGTAACTGTGATGTCCTCTAAATTGTTCTGTGAAACATAGTACTGGATAGGGGGAGGGGATAATTGGTTCTTACATCTCAAAAACACTCCAGCATGTTTAATTCTCTATGCTTGATCTCTTCTTGTAATTTTGGCTTTTTGGCTTTACTTTGACTGTCATCACTTTTTCCATGTCTCTAAGAGATATCTTAATCCTCTTTTATCACTGTCTCCTGGAAATCATGCCAGAATTTGAAATCCCATATCTCAGGAGAGAATTCTCATATTAGAAAGTTTTTTCTTATAGAAGTTTACATTCTGTTTTTTTTTTTTTTTTTTTTTTTTTTTTTTTAGACGGAGTCTCGCTCTGTCACCAGGCTGGAGTGCAGTGGTGCGATCTCAGCTCACTGCAGTCTCCACCTCCCGGATTCAAGCCGTTCTTCCACCTCAGCCTCCCGAGTAGCTGGGATTACAGGTGTGCACTACCACATCCAGCTAATTTTTGTATTTTTAGTAGAGACAGGTTTTCACCCTGTTGGCCAGGATGGTCTTGATCTCCTGACCTTGTGATCTGCCCTCCTCAGCCTCCCAAAGTGCTAGGATCACAGGTGTGAACCACCATGCCCAGCCACAAGTTTATGTTCTATACTCTTTGATTGTGCACTCTCTCCTTATGGTCTTATATATTCTCCAGGGCTCCTACCAATAGATGTGTTAGGTCCTGCTGCTCCGTCAGAATGTCAATCCATGCTTTCCTAGCAATTCCAGCACTTCTTCAGTGGGGTTATGTTGTGACTCAACCTTAGTTATGAGAAAACTGGCCTGAGGGGATGTCAGAGGGCCAGTTTACAGTGGGTGGATGCATACATTTGTTTTGTTTTGTTTTGTTTTGTTTTGTTTTGTTTTGTTTTGTTTGTGGGATCATTTTTGTAGAGTAGAAGCTTCTAAATCTATCACATTGAAGCTATGGTAAAATGTTAGCCTCTGACTTGGAAGATTGCACCAAAAGTATAACTTCAGTTAAAAAAAAATCTAGGGATTGAAGATGTTTTATTGCATCAAACAGTTTCTTCAGCCATATTTTAGGGTTTCACTCTTTCTCAATCAGGGCCTTGACCTTGACATATCAGATGTATGAGTCCTACAAGTTTATCTGGAGCTCTGCTATATTAATTATTTAGTCCTGGGGCTAAATCTTAGCATTCTTTGTGATACAGCTGTGTTAGAGAACATCTTTATATACTGCCATCAAGTTTCCATGACTTCTACCTTTGAAGGCTAATCATCATCAGCATTTCATTAGCTCTTCCCAAAACATCAGTTTACCCCAGCAACAGCCATTCAACTCTATTATTCCATTTTCCTTTTAATTACTATTTCTCCTACGCAACAGGGTGGTTCCTTCCAACAGAATACATTCCAGTTTACTACAATAAAGGTTTGGGAATTCTACTGATAACTTGTCCCAGGTACTATATGAGCTCCTTCTACAACCAGTAATATGGCCCCTAATGCCAGCTGCACAACATATAGTTCAGCTCCCAAATCCCATTCTACCACTGTTTTTTCGGATCACCTTGTATCAATTACCACAGATTGGTTCCCAAGGAAACATACTCTGAGTTGAAGGTTAGTGTGGAGCATGTTTATTAAAGTGTGTTCTTAAGATCAGTATCTCAAGAGAAAGGAAGAAAACAGAGTTTCATTCAGCATGAAAACTTGGCAGAGAGAGAAACTGGGCTACAGTGCTGTCAGAATAATGCCTTAGCATGTTCCCAGGGAGGACTGCAAAGCTTGACTTTTCTTCAGAGTTGTCGTAATTTGGGGTGAGGTGGCTGGAACTTTATACTCCTGCATTGACCCATCTGGAATGTAGGCTTTCCCAGAAAGAAAGCCTAACCTTTAGAAGACAGCTCTCCTTTCAGCCAAGAACCAAGTCCCTAGGAAGATTGGCTGTTAGCCAATAAACTTCCTTGGCCTTTAGTCGTAAAGAGGGATCTGCGTGGTAAAGCAGAACACCTGTGATAAATAACTAAATCGGAAACTAAAACTGCTTCAGATACATTTGCTATTTGCTACCTAGAATCATGTCCTCTCAATCCTACCTCTGATTTCAGGTACTTTGGAATAGACCATTCCTTGGAGGCTTGAACTCACTTTGGCTTGCCAGCATTTTGTCTCTAGTTTGTGAACTGCATCTCTGCTTCTTGCATTAGGGCTCTCAGACACTTCAGAGAATGGTAGAACTTATACATAAAACTTGCAGAGGTATTAACATCCCAAGTGTCAAGATTCAACCAAAGGGAGATGATTAGTAATGGATAAATGTTCCCACCTCTCATTATTTAGTCAAACAATTCTAACAGGCCTTCTTTATATATTCAAGAGATCCCAGAAGAATTGAACCTCACTACCTACAGACCTACTTGCATAATGCATTTTGATATTAAGGTCTATATTTTGAGTCTCAAGGTGAAAATGTCTGTGAGTTTGTTAACCCTATGACAATCAGAAAGCTGTTTTCATGAGTTCCGAGACTGAATCTAACTGTATTGTTTTGACAGAAAATAATTCTGAGATTTCTGTTGCTTAAATGTAAAAAGTTTCCCCCCTCTATTTATAATGTGAAATTTTAGCTCAATTACTTCATTGGTCTTTTCTTTGATATTCTATCATTTGAATTTAAGTCTATCATTGAAGGGAGAGACTTTGAAGACTGAGCTCTTTGGAAGGCAAAAGACTTCTCGTGTTCACTCCATATGGTGAACTCTCATTGCTTCTGTACTCTCTTATATTGCTGCATCACAAAGAACACTCATTGTGTTCAGAGAAAGCTTTATCACATGGATGAAGAAGGGGAGACTGCATCATGAAATGAGAATCAAATGGATATACATCCTACTCCTGTTTTCTGTCTTTTCTCTTCTGGTGATAACAGTGGGAGCATTTTCATCCAGTGAACAGCACACATTAAAAACAGAGCAGCCAATTAAGAACATTCTCTAGAAACTTTAAACCCATAAACAATTAAGAAATCCATTTTGGATCCCATTGATTTAATTCGAAACAAAAGTTGCCTGTTTTTTTTATTGACACATTTAAGATATTTAGACATCTTCAGTAAAACATGTTTAACAGAAATATTTAAAAAATCAAATAAAATTTGAAAGATGACTTTAAGTAAATACTGCGGTTATTTCTATACTAAATATTTTCCAACCACTATTATTTTAATGTCTAAAAATAGTGTTTAATATAACCCTACTATATAAATTTAGGGTATCTCAATAATTTATATAACCTTATTTGAAATAGTCTGCTTCAGTTTCTTTTTATTTTTTAAACAACAATAGCTACAAGTCTTCTTTAGTTTAAATGTTAAATTTTTAGGATTTCTTTTCCACTCCTCCTTCCTAAAAATATAGCATCTTTTGTGTAAAAGAGGTAAGCTTTATATTCTGAACATGTCATGTGAGAGGATGCCTCAAATCCAAACACACTTGTACTGTTATTTGACTCCTCGGATCTATAGGACTTCACTTATGTTTGTACTTAGTATGAACCTCACTAGTACCCAAAGCTAAGGTTAAATATACGTGGGAAGTTTGAAGGTATTTTTGTGTGTGTGCGTTTGTATAATTGTGAGTTTTAGTTTGTGTGTGTGTGTGTGTGTGTGTGTGTGCGTGTGTGTGTGTATTTTATCTGTTTAGTCAGAAATTTTAGATTTGGCCCCACTCCAACTTTCATTCGTATTACATATTCTCATGATATGTGTTCCTGACTCCTGTTTGTCCTCTGGTTTCAGGACCTGAATTCTATCCTTCTTCCCCCAGAGAAAGAAAAATTCACATGTTGAAGCCAAAGCCCCCAGATCCCCCAAGGTGACCATATTTGGACATAGCGACTTTAAAGAGGTAATTCAGTTACTATGGGTTGTTAGGTTGAGCCTTAACCTAACATCATGTGTATCCTTCTATGAAGAAGAGATTAGGACACACAGAGAGATACATTAGGCATGTGAACATAGAGACTAAGAGGCAACTATGTGAGGACATAGTGGGAAATCAAACTTTTGCAAGACAAGGAAGGAGAATGGATCTCTTCTGAGGCCTCTCTCCTTCCTTGTCTTGTAAAACCTTGAACTTGGTCTTCCAGCCTCCAGAACTGTGAATAAATAAATTTCAATTGTTTAAGCCATCCAGTCTGTGGAATTTTTGTAATGGCAGTTCTAGCAAACCAATACACCTGATATTTTTATTGATACTCATTAGGCGAAAGCAATTTAAACTCATAAGACCCTCATCACAGTACAAAAATTTGTAAATCTGACAGTACCCATTTTTAAAGACAAGGTTGATTAATTTGTGTTTTTATAGATTACTGGTGAGAGTATATATTTGAGCAGTGTCTGGAGAATCAAGGATGCTAAGCCAAAGGAAACTCATTATTTTCAACTCAGAAATTTTACCTCCAGACATCTACTCTAGAGAGGTACTTGCAATTAAACACAAACTCAGAGATGTTTTATTGCAGCAGCATTGTTTCTAAGAGCAATGATGGAAAAATAAGAGTTCCTCAGAATATCAGCAATTAAACTGAATAAAGTAAATCTATGTGCATCAACGTAGATAAATTTCAGTCTAATGTTGGAGGTGAAAAAGGAGATAGCCAAATCCCATATATCAGGTGATACAATTTCTATAAATTTAAAATTTGCAAAATGTCAGTTTTTATTAACTATTCAGTGATATATTTAGGATATATTTATAAAAGAAAAATGTCCTCTGAAGTAAGGATGGTATAAAACATACATGTATTTGAACTCTATGGAGGAAACACAGTTGTCTTTTATATTATTTTCTACATTTTTCCTGTAAGTTTGAGATGATCTATTGTGTAAAATAATTATAGAAAAGAGATCCAGCCATTTTGCCAGCAGAGACATAATATAGCTCTTGATGTTATGAAACTGCCTAGTAGAAGATACTGATTTTCTCCTCACTCTGCATCTGTACTTTTAGATCATTACCCTGTCATTTTATAATGAACATAATACATGTTTGAACTTCAAGACGTTTGATCGTACAACACATTCCCCTCCTGTTTACTATTTATTTATTCATTTTTTGAGACAGGCCCTTGCTCTGTCACCCAGGCTGGAGTGCAGTGGCAAGATCGTCATTCACTGCAGCCTTGATCTCCCAGACTGAAGTGATTCTCCCTCTTGGGCCTCCTGAGTAGCTGGAACAACAGGTGCATCCCACCATGCCTGGCTACTTTTTCATTTTTAGTAGACACGAGGTCTCCTTATGTTGCCCAGGTTGGGGTCAACTCCAGGTTCAAGTGATCCTCTGGCCTCAGCCTCCCAAAGTGCTCGGATTACAGGCATGAGCCACCAAACCTGGCCTCCTGTTTACCGTTAACTATGACCTCCCTTTTGAAGATTATATATACTATGAAATAATAGTGTTAAACGCATGACTCATTGTAGTTTGAAGAAATGCAATGCTACAGAATAAGTAGGCCAAGATGAGAGCCACTCAGAGGTTAATGGATAAAATTCCTGGATCCGATAGGAGAATGACTCATATCTGGATGTGACAACTTGAGACAATTTGGTAGCCCTCTGATCAGAGACCTGACAATTGTGTTTTCATTTGCATTACAATAGCTAAATTTTGTTAGGCAGGATTATTTTTGCCTGTGTAGGAGAAGGGTATATGTGTATCCATAAAGTAAATACAAATTAGGTTGTCTTCCAAGTCTGTGGCTGGGTTGTGGCTATTTGATCCTAATTTAGAGATACCTACCTAAAGCTAAGCCAATCAGATTCTCTTACAGGAGTTAAAAATTGTCTAGAGTTATACAGAGACTCAGAACTGTTGGATCCTGTCCTCATTGATGCTTATTAGAGTCACCGATTCAACAAATTTATTATCTGTCACCACCATATAACGGAAGTTTATGAGAGGAGAATTTTATTCCTGTTTTTAAGCTACTATATCTACAGCACTTAAAACAGGACCTGCCACATAGTGGGCATTTAGGAAAAATGTTGAATGAATGGACAAATATTTATTAAATAGTCAGTAAATACCTTAGTGTAAGTCTCGGTAATTAAACCACGAAAGAACCAAAGAAAGAGCCTGTGTCCACGTAACTTATAGTCTGTTAGACAGAGGCAACAATAAACCTAAAAACAAAATAAAAATGAGAAAAGCAATAAGTGTTAGCCAGAGATTTAAAAGAAAAAAATAAGGTCTTGAGTGACAAAGGATAGGATATCATCTACTTGAGTGGATAGGAAAGGTCTCTCCAGGATATTGTGCTTGGGCTGATATCTAGATAATGAGAAAGAGTCAGATTTAAGGAGATCTATGAGCAGAGTATTCCAGAAAACTGGAACAAAACTTGCGAAGGCCTAATATGAGAATAAGACAGAGATTTTCCGGCAAGTGAAAGAGTGTCAGTGTTGATGACATACTATGGTTGTGGAATGTAGTCAGGGAGGCAGAAAGAGAGAACAGGTCAAGTAGGGTGGTAGTAGCTGTGTAAAACAAGTGGATTTTCTTCTACTTCTCATAGGAAACCACATTAATTAAGGTTTTACGCAAAAGGGAAAGCGATTGAGACATACTTCAAAAGCATCAGTCTTGATGTTATTGCTGTGTGGTGACTGAACTGTAGAGGAGGGGAACAAGTTTGAGGACATTTTTGTTTTTTACTTAACTTTATGAATTACTCTTACACAGTTTCAGTAAACTCTCTTTCACATAATAAGTTAGATATTATCTGTTGCTTTCAAATAAAAACACTTGAATTTTTACGTTTAATAAGTTACTTTTTCTTAGGTTAGTAATTTTTAATACATATTGTTAATGGTTTTCAGATGAACAACTCAATTCTTTATAGGATTATTAAAAATTGAAACTCAGGTCTTTGAAGTAGATTTTTAAAATATCATTTCAGGGTGTATTTGAGCATGAACATACACTTATTTATTATACATATACATGTAATGTATGTACATATAGCATAACATATTTTACCTCCTCCTGCATGTATATTGCTAGTGTGTTGTCTCTTTTATTATTGGAGAAAGACACTCTGCATTAACTAATCCCATTGACCTTGCTGCGAGGTCAGCTTTCACAGGGGAGACTGCGTCACTGTTGCTGCCTGATGCAATTATTTCTTAACTATTTGTTTTTTCATTTCCTAATGTAGCTGCTGCTAGTGAAGGAGGTTTGTAGGCAGTTAAGAGTTTTAAAGTTTCTTCTTTAATGTTCCTATGATGCAAAACAAATTGTCCCCAAGCCATTTGTTTACCAAAAGTATATTTAAGATAAAAATTAAGTGCCAAAAACAGTTTGCAAAGGGATATAAGACTCTCTGCCTCAAGTATTTTTCCTTAAAATAGTATCTCTTCCTAGATTCACCCTAATTTTATGGTCTTATGAATTTAATAAAATCTACAAAAATATTTACAAGTATGCAGTACTCTAAGACAGAAAAGTAAAAATGCAACACTGGAGTTACATTTACATATATAAACACACTCACAAAAATAACATATTTACTTAAAATTGCTTCCTATAAAAATGTTCTTGCATTTAAAGCAAAGGAGAATTTATTACGTGGTTAAATCAATGTTAAGATGTATTTGTAAATCCATATATTGGGAAAATGTAATACATCTAATGCAATTCAACAGCACGAACACTCTGCCTTGTAGCAATATATTATTTAAGGTCTGTGGAAACTAAGTGTTTTAATGCACATAACACTGTTGATCATTATAGGTTTTTGACATCTTAAAAACAGGTTGTGTTTACATCATGGGGAAACGGAGATAAACAAACACAGTGAAAACTAAAGTCTCCTCTGAAAACACCAGCTTTCATTTTATAGGTGTTCATTATGAACAGTAAGCTTTTTACAAATGATTAGAATCAGGCTGAAATGGTATTGAATGACTTTTGCCTGAGTTTACAGGGCTGTTAAAACTGTTGACAGCTTTGTTCACTAAAGGTACAGTGGTGTTCAAGGAGATGACAGGATGAATCATCTCTTTTTGAATTCATAAATTCTGCTGTGATATATGTGTAAAGGCCAAAAAAAAAAAAACCAATAATAAGAAATACCATACCTTACTCCATACTCCTTAACACTTACACAGGATTGCCTATCTTGATGGCACCGCCCTATCTAAGGTTGACCTGGTCTCTGTCCTCAATACAAGATATCAACCTATTTTGTTTTCCATCCTCTAAGTTATCTTCATTTCAGTAATTATAAGCTAAGGACATATTATGTCTAAGACAAAATACTGGACACTGAACTTCAAAAATAGTCCATCAACCCTGTAATTACATTTTCATTTAATCATTTAAGTATACACATACACTCACAGATATTTTCTTTATAAAACATGGTGAATGGCAAAATGAAGCAATGCCTCAAGTATGTGGGAATGCGAGTACTATTACTTACTCTAAAGCATTGATAAGAGGCAAAACAGATGATAAAACTGATATAGAAAGTTTCAGTTGTTTTTTTTTAATTTTAAGTTCAGGGGTACATGTGCGGGTTTGTAATGTAGGTAAACTCGTGTCACAAGGATTTGTTAAATAGATTATTTGGTCACCAGGTGTTAAGCCTAGTACCCATTAGTTATTTTTCCTGATCCTCTCACTCCCTCCACCCTCCACACCCTCAGATAGGCCCCATTGTCTTTGGTTCTCCTCTCTGTGTGCATGTGTTCTCATCATTTAGCTCCCACCTTTAAGTGAGAACATGCGGTATTTGGTTGTCTGTTCCCGAGTTAGTTTCCTAAGGATAATGGTATCCAGCTCCATTCATGTTCCTGCAAAGGACATGATCTCATTTTTATGGCTGTGTAGTGTTCCATAGTGTATATGTACCACATAGTCTTTATCCAATCTACAATTGATGGGCATTTAGGTTGATTCCATGTCTTTGCTATTGTGAATACTGCTGCAGTGAACACACATGTGCACGTTTACATTCTCATTTTACAGTGAAAAGTCTTATAGGTTCTGTGGCATATAAAAAGATTTTTTTTAAAGTATAGTCCTTAGATAATGAGATTATAGATAAATATCAAGTAACGGTACAAATTTTAGGGCTGTGGAATTAAACAGAAATCCTTTCACATTCTGACCCCATATCCTCCTACATATGTATTTTTAATTTTATTATTTAAAAATTTTTTAATTTGTGTGGGTACACAGTAGGTATATAGATCTATGGGTTACCTGAGATATTTAGACACAGGCATGCAATGCATAATAATCACAACAGGATAAATGGGTTATCTATCACCTCAATCATTTATCATTTGTGTTACAATCTATATATGTTTACTTATTTTAAAATGTACAATTAGATTATATTTGGCTATAGTCACCCATTGTGCTAGCAAATACTAGGTCTTATTTATTCTTTCTAACTATTCCTTGGTACCCATTAATTATCCCTATTTACCACTATCCCCCAGTACTCTTCCCAGCCTGAAAACCACCCTTCAACTCTCTGTCTCCATGATACTCAACTATATTAAATTTTAGCTCCCACAAATAAATGAGAATATATGAAGCATGTCTTTGTGTGCCTGGCTTATTTCATTTAACATAATGACTTCCAGTTACATCCACGTTGTTGCAAATGACAGGATCTCATTCTTTTTTATGGTTGAATAGTACTTCATTGGGTGTATGTAGCACATTTTTATTATCTAGTTATCTGTTGATGGACACTTAGGTTGCTTCCAGATCTTGGCTATAACGAATAGTGCTGCATAAATATGGAAGCGTAGATGTCTCTTAGATATACCAATTTCCTTTCTTTTGGGTATATACCTAGGAGTGGAATTGCTGGATCTTATAGAAGCTCTATTTTCACTTTTTTTGAGGAACCTCCAAACTGTTCTCCATGGTGGTTGTACTAATTTACATTCCCACCAACAGTGTACAAGAGTTCCCTTTTCTCCACATCCTCCCCAGCATTTACTGCCTTTTGGATAAACGACATTCTAATTGGGGTGAGATAGTATTTCATTGTAGTTTAGATTTGCATTTATCTGATGATCATTGATGTTGAGCACCTTTCCATAGGCCTGTTTGTCATTTCTGTGTCATCTCTTGAGAACTTTCTATTAGATCTTTTGCATTTTTTTATTTTTTGAGACTGGGTCTCAGCCCATCACCCAGGCTGGAGTGCAATGGCATGATCTCGGTTCACTGCAACCTCTGCCTCCCGGGTTCAAACAATTCTCCTGCCTCGGCCTCCTGAGTAGATGGGATTACAGGCACCCACCACCACACCTGGCTATTTTTTGCATTTTTAGTAGAGACGAGTTTTCACCATGTTGGCCAGGATGGTCTTGAACTCTTGACCTCATGATCTGCCCACATTGGCCTCCCAAAATGCTGGGATTACAGGCATGAGCCAACACACCTGGCCTCTTTTGCCCATTTTAAAATCTGATTATTAGATTGTTTTCTCTTGAGTTGCTTGAGCCCCTTGTATATTCTGGTTATTAATACCTCATCAGATGGGTAGTTTGTGAATATTTTCTCCCATTCTGTGGGTTGTCTTCACTTTGTTGATTGTTTCCTCTGCTGTGAAGAAGCTTTTTAACTTGTTCGGATCCCATTTATTCACTTGTTGCTTCAGTTGCATTTGCTTGTGGGGTACTATACAAGAAATCTTTGCCAAGTGTCCTGGAGAGTTAATCCTATATTTTCTTTTCAATACTTTCATAGTTTGTGGTTTTAGATTTAAGTCTTTAATCCATTTTGATTAGATTTTTGTATATAACAAGACATAGGGGTCTAGATTCATTGTTTTCCATATAATATCCAATTTTTACAATTATTGAGGAGACTGCCCCTTCCCCAGTACATGTTCTTGGAGACACTGGCAAAATTGAGTTCACTGTAAATTTATGGATTTATCTCTGGGTTCTCTATTCTGTTCTACTGATTTATGTCTTTGTTTTCATGCCAATACCATGCCATTTTGGTTACTATACCTCTGTACTATAATTTAAAGGCAGGTTAAACTCCTCCAGTTGTTTTTTTTTTTTTTTTTTTTTTTTTTTTTTTGCTTAGGATTGCTTTGGCTATTCTGAGTCTTTTATAGTTATATATATATTTTAGTTTTTCTTCTATTGATATAAAGAATAGCAATGGTATTTAATAGAGATTGAATTAAATCTGTAGATTGCTTTGGGAAGTATGTACAGTTTAACAATATTGATTATTGCAATACATGAATGTGAAATAGCTATCCATTTAATTGTGTTCAATTCCTTGTATCAGTGTTTTATAGTTCTCATTATAGAGATCTTTTCTTTGTTTAATAATTACATATTTCATTTTGTTTGTATTTATTTTATTTGCAAGTATTTTATTACATTTGTATTTATTTCATTTTATTTGCTATTATAAATGGGATTACTTTCTTGATTTATTTTTCAGATTGTTCCCTGTTAGCATATAGAAACACTACTAATATTTGTATGTTGATATTGTATTCTGCACTTTACTGCTTTTGTTTATTAGTTCTAATAGTTTCTTGGTGAGTCTTTAGGTTTTTCCAAATATAAGATTATGTCATCTGTAAACAAGGATAATTTGACTTCTGTCTTTCCAATTTGCATGCCCTTTAATTTTTTTAAATTGTGTGATTGCTTTAGCTAGAATTTCCTGTACTATGTTGAATAATAGTGATAAAAGTGGGCATCCTTGCCCTGTTACCAATCTTAGAGGCTTTCAGTTCTTCCTCTTAAGTATACTAGCTATGGATCTGTTGTATATGGCTTTTATTATATTGAGGTATGTTCCTTCTATACCCAGTTTTTGATGGTTTTAATCATGAAGGGATGTTGAATTTTATCATATTTTTTACACAACAATTGAAATGATCGTATGGTTTTTGTACTTAATTCTGTTGATATGATGTATCACATTGATTTGTGTATGTCGATCCATCCTTGCATCTCTGGGATAAATCCCACTTGGTCCAGATGAATGAAATTTTTGATGTATTGTTGAATTTTATTTGCTAGTATTTTTTGAGGATTTTTGCATCAATATTCATCAGAGATATTGATCTATACTTTTCATTTTTGATGTGTATTTGTCTGGTTTTAGTATCAGGGTAATACTGGTCTAGTAGAATGACTGTGAAAGTATTCCCTCATCTTCTGTTTCTTGGAATAGTTTGAGTAGGATTGGTATTAGTTCTTTATAAATGTTCAGAATAATTTAACAGTGAAGCCATAGGGTCCCAGGGTTTCTTTACTGGGAGTCATTGTATTACAGCTTTGATGTCATTACTTTTTATTGGTCTGTTTAGGTTTTCAACTTTTTTATGGTTTAATATTAGTAAGTTGTATAAATCTAGGAATTTATGTGCTTCTTTTACATTTTCCAATTTATTGGCATATAGTTGCTCATAGTAGCCACTAATCTTTTGAATTTCTGCAATATCAGTTGTAATGTCTCCTTTATCATCTCTGATTTTATTTATTTTGGTCTTCTCTCTCTCTCTGTCTCTGTCTCTCTCTCCTCTCCCTCTCTCTTCTCTTTCCTTTTTTTCTTTTTTTTTTTTTTTTTTTTTTTTGAGACAGAGTCTTGCTCTGTCACCCAGGCTGGAGTGCAGTGTCATGATCTCAGCTACTGTAACCTTGGCCTTCTCTGTTCAAGTGATTCTTGTGATTTCACCTCCTGAGTAGCGGGATTACAGGCATGCACGACCATGCCCAGCTAATTTTTTGTAATTTTAGTAGACACAAGGTTTCACCATGTTGCCCAGGCTGGTCTTGAACTCTTGCCTCAAGCTATCTGCCTGCCTCGACCTCCCAAAGTGTTGAGATTACAGGCAGGAGCCACCATGCATGACCTTTTTTCTTAGTCTTCCTAAAGGTTTGTCAATTTTGTTTATTATTATTTTTTTTAAAAACATAGCTTTTTGTTTCATTGATTTTTGTATCTCTTTTCTTCAAATTAATTTTTTTGTGCTCTGATCTTGATTATTGCTTTTTTCCTACTAATTTTGGATATTGCTTTGCTCTTGCCTTTCTAGTTATTTAAAATGCATTTGTTAGGTTGTTTATTTGAAATTTTTCCTCTTTTTTGATGTAGGCACTTATAAACTTCCTTCTTAGTACTTCTTTCATTGTTTCTCATAGGTTTTCTATGTTATGTTTCCATTATCATTTGTTTCGATGAATTTGTCGATTTTCTTCTTAATATCTTAATTGACCCACAGGTCGTTCAGGAATATATTGTTTATTTTCCATGTGTTTGTATAATTTTCAACATTTCCCTTGTTCTTAATTTGTAGTTTTATTCCTTTGTGGTCAGAGCAGATGCTTGATATTATTTCACTTTTTTGAATGTTTTAAGACTTGTTTTGTAACCTACCATACAATTAATCCTTGAGACATATCCATGTGCTGAGGAAAATAATGTGTATTTTGCAGCCATTAGATGAAATTTTCTGTAAATATCCTTTAGGTCCATTTGGTCTATAGTGTAGGTTAAATCTGATATTTCTTTGTTGATTTTCTGTCTGAAGATCAGTCCAATGCTGAAAGTGGGGTGTTGTCCCGAGATACTATTGTTTTGGTATCTCTTTCTCTCTTTAGCTCTAATACTATGTGCTTTATATATCTGTGTACTCCACTATTGGGTGCATATACATTTAAAATTGTTATATCCTCTTGCTAAATTGACCCTTTTATGGCTATGTAGTGTCCTACTTTTTCTCTTTTCCTAGTTTTTGTCTTCACATCTATTTTGTCTGATATAACTATTCCTGCTCTTTTTTGGCTTCCATTGGCAAGGAATATCTTTTTCCATGACTTTATTTTCAATCTATGTGTGTCTTTTTAGGTGAAGTGTGTTTCTGAAAGGGGACAGATCATTATTTCTCATTTTTTTTTCCATTCAGCCACTCTATGTCTTTTGATTGGAGAGTTTAGTCCATTTACATTTAATGTTATTATGAATATGTAATGACTTACTCTGACCATTTTGTTATTTGTTTTCTGGTTATTTTATGGTCTTCTCTTCTTTGTTTCCTTCCTTCCTGTCTTTCTTTTATGAAGACAATTTTCTCTAGTGGTATTCTTTAATTTCTTTTTTAAAATTTTTTTTGTATAGCCATTGTATGTTTTTGATTTGAGCTTATCATGTGGCTTGGGAATACTATCTTATAATCCATTAGTTTAAGCTAATAACAACTTAACATTGTTTGCATAAACAAACAAGCAAATAGAAAACTAATCAAAACTCTTCATCCCCTCACTTTAAAAATTTTTGTTGTTTCTATTTCTATCTTATTCTACTTTCTCTGTCTTGAAATGTGGCTGTACTTATATTTATTGGTTTATTATTTAATTTTTCTGCTTAAGAGTAGTTTGCAAACAACCTTTACAATATTATAATATCCTGTGTTTTTCCCTGTACTTCCTATTGCCAGTTTGATTTGCACCTTCAGGTGACTTCTCATGGTTTATTCACATACTTTCCTTACTGAATGAAGCATTCTCTTTGGTATTTTCTGTCAGACAGGTCTGGTGTTGACAAAATCCTTAGCTTTTGTTTGTCTGGAAAAGCCTTTATTAATAAAGTCTTCATGTCTAAAGGATAATATCAGCAGATAAACTAGTCTAGGGTAAAGTTTTTGTCTTCACCACTTTAAATATGTCATGTCACTCTCTCTTGTCCCATAAGGTTTTCACTGAAACATCTGCTGCCATACATATTGGAGCTCCATTGTATGTTATTTGTTTCTTTTATCTTAATGCTTTTAGGATTTTTTTAAATCTTGGGTCTTTGAAAGTTTGATTATTTAATGCCTTGAGGTAGTATTCTTTGGGTTAAATCTGACTGGTGTCCTACAATCTTTCCATACTTGGATATTGATATATTTCTTTAGGTTTGAGAAGTTCTTTTGTATGCCTTTGAATAAGCTTGCTACTCCTATCTCTTTCTCTACCTTCTCTTTAATCTCACTAACTCTTAGATTTGCCATTTTGAGGCTATTTTCTAGATCCTATAGGCATGCTTAATTGTTTTTTATTCTTTGTTCTACTCTGACTGTATACTTTCAAATAGCATGTCTCCAAACTCACTAATTCTTTTTTCTGCCTGATGAATTCTGCTAGTAAAAGACTGATGCATTCATCTGTATGTTAGTTGCATTTCTCAACTCCAGAATTTCTGCTGGATTCTTTTTGATTATTTCAATCTCTTTGTTAAATTTATCTGATAAAATTTTGAATTCTTTCTCTGTGTTATCCTGAATTTGAGTTTCCTCAAAACAGCTATTTTGAATTCTCTGTCTAAAAGGTCACATATTTCTGTTTCTCCAGGATTTGTTCCTGGTTCCCTTATTTAGTTCATTTGTTGAGGTCGTGTTTTCCTCTATGATCTTGATGCTTATGGATTTTCATCTGTGTCTAGCCATTGAAGAGTTAGATACTTATTGTAGTCTTCAGAGTCTGGGCTTGTTTGTTCTCATCATTCTTGGGAAGGCTTTCCAAGTATTATAAATGACTTGTGTTTTGTATTCTAAGCTGTATCTGCATTAGTTGTCATACCAAGCCCTGTAATGCTGTGGTTCTAGCAGACTTCTAGAGGTAACATCTTGATAGCCTTAAATAAGTTTCAGAAGAATTCTCTGGGTTACCAGGCAGAAACTCGTGTTTTCTTCCCTTACTTTCTCCCAAACAAATAGATTCTCTCTCTTGTTCAGAGCTGGGAGTGAAGTGACACAAGCACCCTGGTGGCCACTCTCACTGGGTCACTGTGCGGAGTTAGACTTGAAGCCAGAACAGCACTGGATTTCACCCAAGGCCTACTGTAATCGGTATCTGGTTACTGCCTCTGTTTGCTCAAGACCCTAGTGATCTACAATCAGCAGGTAACGAAGCCAGTGAGGCTTATGTCCGTCCCTTAGGGATAGCAAATTTCCCCAGGCCTTGTGCAGGTCCAGAGATTCTGTCCAGGAGGCAGGGGCTGGAATCAAAAACCTTAGATGCTTACCGGCTATTCTATTTTACTCTGGCTAAGCTGACACTCGAAGCACACGACACAGTCCTTCCCACTCTTCCCTCACCTTTCCACAGGCAGAGGAGCTTTATCCATGGCCACTGCCACCCCTGGCCCATGGGGAGTACTGCCAGGCTACTGCTGATATTAATTTAAGTCCCAAGTACTCTTCAGTCAGCTGTGGTGAATGCTGCCTGGCATGAAACTCACCCTTCAGGGGTGTGGGCTCCCCTCTGGTACAGGGCAAGTCCAGGAATACCATCGAAGAACCAAGAGCCAAGACCTGGAATCAGGAACCCCAAGAGCTGGCTTAGTGTGCCACACCTCTGTAGATGAGCTAGTTCCTAAGGTGCAAGACAAAATACGCTTTACTCTTCACTCCACTTTTCTTAAGTAGAAGGAATTTTTCCTATAGTTACAACAGTGAATATGCTGAGTCTTACTTCTTGAAGCCAGCTAGTCTCAGAGTCTCACCCAATGCCCACAACATACTACCTGGATATAGCTGCCTGTTATTCAGGGACCAAGGGCTCTTTAGTCGCAGGTGATGTGTCCTTCCCTTCAAGGTAGTGGCTTCTCCTCTGGCCCAGGGTGTATCTAGAAATGTCATATTGGAGCTAGGGCCTGGAAAATAAGCCTCATGATTCTGACTGGTGGTCTATCCTTTTGTGGCTGAGCTGGTATCCGAGATGAGTGACAACATCTAATTTTCTCTTCATTATTCAACAGAAAGGAAAGGGTCTCTTTTGGAGCCACGAGTTGTGCAGCATGAGGTTGTGAGAATGGTGGTGCACAAGCAATTCCTTAGCCACCTTGGCTGGTGTCTCAGTCCACTGGCTCTGAGTACATCTCTGCACTTGGACTCACCTAGGACTTGTAGTCCTGTAGCCTTGACTATCTTTCAAGTTTATTTGGGGCCCCAGAGTACTTTCACTCATGGTGGCAAGGGTTGCCAGAAATCAAGTTCAGACCCTTGGGATGAGCGATTCCCCTCTAGTTAGGGCTAGTTTAAATACTGCCTTTTTGGGAGGGCATCAGCTGAGGTCAGCCTGGTTTTGCTTTCTGCTGTGACAGGGCAGCCCTCAATTTAATGCAGCGTCTTGAAATCCCTGTCCTCTCCATCTGCCAAGCAAAGAGTTCCTCTCTGTACCATGTGGCTGTTTCAGGGGATAGGGGAGTAGTGGTGGCATTGACGATTCAAGACTGTCTTCTACCCTCCTCAGTGCATCTTTCATCAATATGAAGTTAAAACCAGGTAGTGTTAGTGCTCACCTGATTTTTGGTTCTTATGAAGGTGCTCTTTTTGTGTAGATTTTTGTTAAATTGGTGTCCTTGCAGTGGGGATGATCAGTGCTGGGTCTTCTATTTGGCCATCAGGGTCCACTCACTACATACATAATTTTGACCATATTATTTAACCTCTGACCAACAGGCTTCTTATTTGAAAAAGAACATAATAATAACTGTTTCAAGTAAGTTGAAATTAGTGTAACATATACTAAACACCTATTAAAACCAGGTGACCAATAACAATTAGCTCCTTGTACTTCCCTCACTTTCAGGGAATATATAGTCCAATAAGGAAAACATAACTTGTATTCAAGTAATTTATGTACAAAAGACTATGTGCATAATGCTGCAAGAAAAGTTTTATTTAATACTTTGAAATTAAGCTTGTCCTAAAAATTATCTGGTTTATACAACTATAGAGCACTCCTTTATTCTGTTTAGATGGTTGTTAGTTAGGCTATGAGTTTTTATATACTATACATTGTTTATTTCATGTACATTACCTTACATGAAATAAATTATTTCCAAGTTTCTGTGATACAGAATTTAGGTTCTAGTCCAAAGTCTGCAATTCTCCAACCACTGAACTATAAACTCTATATTTTCTTTCTCTGCCTTGTCACATAAGGAAACTTTAATTGATGATTTCTCCCAAATTTTATTCACAGAGATTTTGGGGAAATAAGTAAATTAATATAAAACATTTAGAAAATTCAGTAGGTTGCTTGAACTATTCATACATCATAGTTGGTGTTAATAAAGTAATTCTTATTTATATTACAGTACCATAAATACCTGTTTTTTTCTTTTTGTGTGGGTGACGGAGGTCTCACTCTGTCACCCAGGCTGGAATGCAGTGGCTTGACCATGGCTCAGTGAAGCCTTGACCTCCCAGATCACTCAGGTGATCTTCCCACCTCAGCCTTATAGGTGGTAGCTGAGACTACAGGCGCTCATCACCACACTGGCCTTTAGTATTTTTGGTAGAGATGGGTTTTCCCATGTTTCCCAGGCTGTTCTCGAACTGCTAGGCTCAAATGATCTGCCCACTTCGGCCTCCTAAGGTGCTGGGAATACAGATATGAGCCACCACGCCTGGCCATGAATATCTTTCATTGTTAGGTTGCCAGTAAGTTAACCGTAACTAAAATTTAATCTTGAAGTTTGCTTATTAAATTCTTCAAGAAAAATATGATATCCTACAGCCAAATACTTTAACCCATATAATTTTAGGACCAAAAATAGTCAAATAAATTTTTTAAATTTAATTGAAAAAATATTTCCCCACTGAAAAGTGAACCTAATCTTTCAAAAGAGGCATGCAGCTTAGTATTTAAGGGGAAGTATACTGATGTATGCAAGTTGCTTTGGACTTATGAAAAATGAGATAGATTGATAGGAAGACAGGGTATTAAATAGACGAATGCATATCAGAAAACCAATGATAATAAAATCTTAAGGGTAGACCCTCTATAGTACTTTCAGTGCTTATTTCTTTCAACATTTGGCAGCCTCCAAGAATCTATATCCCTCCCACCACACCTCACCCACCCCACCAACTCCACATCCCTGCTTTTTCTATGGCTTTAGTTTTCTAGGTTCTGTCTCTTTTCAGAGTTATGGTAGCTTAATTTGCCTGGTGATATTGATTTTCTGCTGCCAGCTGTGCTGTATTAAGCTCTATACCTATCTCCAAACTGGCTCCAACATGAACACCCATGGTAATTGTGTCAGCAGTGTTAAATCCATGTACCCTATGAAGAACATATAAGGGAAAGAAAAACAATCAAAACAAGATAAAACCAAAAACAAAGTCGTATAAATATTTATCATTCTGTAAGGAGTTTATTTACAAATAAAGTAAGAGTATACACACACACACACACACACACACACATAACAGTAATGACATATTACAAAAAATATTTTAATAACTATTTACCAGATGCTGTCTTTCAGAAATTTTAATATTTTATACCCTTCAACATCCCTGTCTTGTAATGGGCTCACATTTCTTCTAATTTTAGAGAAGATGAATCAGTCAGTGGTAGATTGCTTTAATTATTGTTATTTGTTTCTCCTATTATTGCAATTGTTAGTTTGACTAAACATTTATTAAGAGTCTGCCATATAGTAGGCCACCTACTCCAAATAATCAGAGGTTTTGATGTATGTTAGTGACAGATTTTTATTTTCTTCTCTGTTTGATGTTATTTCCCTTTTTTTCTATTTAAACAAGACCCTGTATTTGGCACACATAATCTTCTAGTTATCTAAAACTATAATCAATTGTGTGTGATAAAAAGGAGCTCTGGACTAGAAACCAGAAGACAGAATTTCTAGGAAATAATTAACCATATACTTTCACAGTGTGTGTGTGTGTCTCTCTCTGTGTGTGTACACACTATAGAAATATTTTAACTTCTGTTCTCATTTATTTTTCCATTGGTAAATTGAGACGCTTAACCTGGATGATTTCTAATGTAATTGCATTTCTATAATCTTACACATCTGTTTATTTCAATAGATTAAAACCTTCTACTGTGTGAAGCAAGTGTTAAGTATGTAGAGAAAAAAAATCCAAATCAAATTTCATTTCAACAACAATTTGTTTGCCTGTTGCTTAATTTTAATAAATAGTCTGTTATTTGTTATTTTCTGACTGTAATCTAGTTAGCAATATAGCTACACTAAAGTCTTCGGCTGGGTATGGTGGCTCATGGCTGTAATCCCAGCACTTTGGGGTGCTCAGGTGTGTGGATGACTTGAGGCCAAGGGTTTAAGAGCAACCTGCCAAAAATGGTGAAACCCCATCTCTACTAAAAATACAAAAATTATCTGGGTGTGGTGGCACATGCCTGTAATCCCAGCTAGTTGGCAGGCTGAGACAAGAGAATTGCTTGAACCTGGGAGGTGGAGGTTGCAGTGAGCCAAGATTGCACCCCTGCTCTCTGGCATGGACAACAGAGAAAGACAGTATCTCAACAACAAACAAAAAGTTTTTGGAGAATCATTATGTTCTAAGACTGATACTTCTATAAATTATTAAATTTTATTTTGACACTATTGATAGATGCAGGAAGCAGACTAATGCCTAGGCAGATAAAGAAGGGTCCCTGGGGAATCTCTGACCTGCCCCGCAAGTGTTTCCACCACATGTTTTTTTGCAGATAAGGGAATCTGCACAAGGTCTTCAATGGGCATGCCCACAGCAGACTGGAGGCCCACATGCACTGGGGGAATGGGGTGGGGCCACCAGGAATTCACACCTTATGCAGAGGGAGGAGCCTGACCTCTTCAGCTCATGTGTGGTGGCCTAGTATCCAATCAGTGAGGTGAGAGCTTGTTGGCAGGACCCCCCTTCTATTTTTGCTGAGAGCTTTCTTTTTGCCTAATAAATCCTCCCTCCTCACCCTTCAATGTGTCCACATGCCTAAATTTTCCTGGTCATGAGACCACCCGAATTTTAGGTGAACTAAGGAACAAAAAATCCTGCATCAGTATTATGGAGTAAGATATATGCCACAAGTACATGTAAATAATTCCTCATTCTAGAGGCTAATTGAAATAATAAAAGTCTCTGCCCTGCCCTTTCCCATATTGCAAAGAAGAGTAGAGCACTGCATGATAAGGTAAAAGTACTGCTTACCTTCAAAGCCTAGTGAAGAAGAATTTGGTGAATAAGAAAGAATAGGGGCAACAGAAATCTGTCTCTTTGTCTAGACAACAACTGCACAGACAGATTTTGTCTGATGTATCTATTTTGGAACTGTGGAATCTACTGAGGCCTTAAAACTTTCAGGGGAAGGCTTGGAAGGCCAATTGCAGTTAATTTCCATCAATTATAATCTTAGCACAGCAGAAGCCACTGATGTTCCATGTCCAGCCCTGTAGCAGGAACCTGTGAATTTGTTCCGAGAGCAACCTGAACACAGTTTGTGGAAGACAGACTGGGCAGAAAGAACCTTGCCCTTCAAATATTAGTGATCTGTGCTGTGATCACTGATTGCTGTTTCTGATCACAGAGGTCCAGACAAAAAGGTGGGCACCTTCCTGTATTTTTGCAAGTGACTTTGAGGGAATTTAAAGGTCTAGCACTCTTTATTCTCCCTCATCAGTTTTTTTTGTTTTCTTTTTGGGCAGCAAGAATGTAAGGAACAGGGCATTCAAAAGGAATGGTATATATGGGGAAAATTAGAGTATGTCTGTGTATACCCAGGGAAAGACACAGGTTCAAAAAACAAACGTACAAACACACACACACACACACACACACAAACACACACACAAAGAAAAAAAGAAAAAACCTAGAAGACATGAAGTTTACAACTCAGGCACAGAGACAGCCTACAACAATTAACAAGAAAACAAACAAACAAAAAATCCTGGAGCTGAAAAGTACGGCAACTGAAATAAAAAAAAAAAAATGCATTGCGGCCGGGTGTGGTGGCTCACACATGTAATCCCAGCAGTTTGGGAGGCTGATGCAGGTGGATCACCTGAGGTCAGGAGTTTGAGACCAGCCTGGCCAACATGGCAAAACCCCGTTTCTACTAAAAATACAAAAAATTAGTCGGGCGTGGTGTTGGGCACCTGTAACCCCAGCTACTCAGGAGGCTGAGGCAGGAGAATCGCTTGAACCCAGGAGGCGGAGGTTGCAGTGAGCCAAGATTGAGCCACTGCACTCCAGCCTGGGTGACAAGAGCCAAACCCCTTTTTAAAAAAAGAAAAAAAAGAAAAAGAAAAATGCATTGCAGGAATTTAAAGGCAGATATGAACCGTCAGAAACAAGAATCAACAAAATTGAAAATAGCACAATAAAAATTAGTGTATGAAGAGCAGAAGGAAAAATGATTGAAGAAAAACAGAGTCAAAAAAACCTGTGGGACACCATCAAGGGGACAAACATACTCACTGTGGGAGTCCTAGAAGAACAGAAAAAGGAGGAAAGAGAAAATGTGAAGCAATAATGGTGAAAGTCTTTCCAAATTTGATGAAAAACATGCATATATACTTCCAAGAAGCTGAAGAAACTCCAAATAAGATGAAGGTAAAAAGAGATCCACACAAAGATACATTATAATCAAACTTTGAAAAGCCAGAGATAGTTTTGAAAGCAGCAAGAAGAAAGCAACTTATTACATACAAGTGTTCCTACTAAGATTATCAGTAAATTGCCCACCAGAAACTTGGCAGATAAGAAGGTAGTGTGCAGATACAGTTCAAATCCCAAAGAAAACTGTCAAACAAGAATTTTATGTATGGCCAAACTGTCCATGAAAAGTGAGGAAGAAACTAAGATATTTGCAGATAAACAAAATTCTGAGGGAATTTGTTACCATTACAATTGCCCGGCAATAAATGGCCAATGGATTCCTGCAGGATGAAATGACACTAGACAACAACCTAAAGCCACATGACAAAGCAAACATCTCAATAGGGTACGTATATGGGCAATTTTAAAAACTCATTTTATTCAAACAATAATTTTGAATTTATTCAAACTATTTGCTACATAATTTAAGAAATTAATACATTAAAAAGCAACAATTATTAGTCTAAAAGCTAACATTATTTTAACTTTGATTTTGGACTTCCCATTTTATTTATACATAGTTCAAGAGACTAATGATTTCAAATAAATTTTAATTTTGGAGCATACAACGTATAAAGATGTAATTTTGATAACAACAACCAAAAAAGTGAGAACTATTAAAGGAAGAGAGATTTTGTATGTTATTGAAGTTAAGCTGGTATAAATTCAAATAAGGGTGTTACAACTTTAGAATGCTAATGTAATCCCCATAGTAACCACAAAGAAAAAAACTATAGAATATATACCAAAGGTAAATGAGAAATTTAAATATTTCACTACAAAAAATCGACTAAACTCAACACAGTAATGCAGAAAATGAGGGGCAAAAAAAACCTTTAAGGTATATAGAAAATAAAGAGTAAAATGATGCAAGTAAGTCTCTTCCTGTCAGTAAATATTTAAATGTAAATGGATTAGCCTTGCCAATCAAAAGATAGTTTTGGGACTCAGAAAACAAAAAATACCCTAATATGAGGGCCTCAGAAGCAGCCTCAAAAGCAAACATTTTTCTTTGATGTTCTTCTGTCCTCGTGTCTCTCAGTCCCATTGTTTCCCAAGGCTAGCCATAGAAACTAGAATCCCTTTCCCCAAGGCAGGTCATAGAAACCAGAGCCTTTTTCCCCAAAGCCAGCTATAAAACCTAAAAAGATTACTCTAACTTTCCCTTTGCATTTCTGTGCAAAAAATGGTCATAATGGAATTATCTGACCTACCTTGTTTGACTGCAGTGATAAAACCATTCCAGCACTTTGGGAGGCCGAGGCGGGCAGCCGATCATGAGGTCAGGAAATCAAGACCATCCTGGCTAACACGGTGAAACCCAGTCTCTACTAAAAATACAAAAAATTACCCAGGTGTGGTGGCAGGCACCTGTAGTCCCAGCTACTAGGGAGGCTGAGGTAGGAGAAAGGCGTGAACCCGGGAGGCGGAACTTGCAGTGAGCCAAGATCACACCACTGCACTCCAGCTTGGGCGACAGAGCAAGACTCCGTCTCAAAAACAAACAAACAAACAAACAAAAAAAACATTCCAGATAAGGTCTTGCCCCATACCCAGAGGGAAGAAATGCATGCCTAGAGAGGCCAAAAATCTAGACAGACAGAGAGGCCTTGCTGTGTTTCCATGCTTAGTCCATTAACATTCGATGATACTCTTTTGGTCCAATCATATGTATACATGGCTATCCATACTTTGTTGAGCTCAGCATAAAAATGGACATTTTTTCTGAAGCCTCTCATGTACACATTAAGATAATTTGTATGCCTTTTCTCCAGTTAATCTGTTTTTTGTGTTTTTTTTTTAGACAAACCTTCAGAGGGGAAGGATAAATTTTACCTTGTTCTCTACAGCAGAGTGACGGAATATGTTAAAAAATAAGCATGTTCCAACTATATTCTGGCTAAAAACGAGTCAATTTAGATCCAAAGACACAAATGGGTTGAAAGTGAAATGATGGAAAAATAGATTCCATGCAACAGCAACCAAAAAAGTGCAGCAGTGGCTACTAGACTTCGGGCAAATAGACTTTAAAACATAAAAGGTTACAAGAAATACAGGACATCCTACATTAATAAAAGTTCCAATATATCAAGAATATATAATTACAAAAATATAAGCATCTAATGCCAGGTTATCAAAATATATAAAACAAAAGCCTACAAACGAAAGGGAGAAATAGACAGGTCTATGATAATAGTTGGAGACTTCAATATCCCATACTAAATAATGAATAAAACAAACCAAACATGATAAGGAAATAGAGGACTTAAACGATACAATAAACTAGCACTTCAGATCTATAGTTAGGCATGATATTGAGTCCATCATCAAAAGTCTCCTGACAAAAGCCGTGGGTCTGATGGCTTAACTGTTAAAATTTGCCAAACATTTAAAGAATAACTAGCACCAATCCTTCTTAAACATTTAAAAATAATCCGACAATAACAGAACACACATTTCTAATCAAGTGCGTGATCTTGAGATGCCAGGCTAGACCATTTATTAGGCCAAAAATCAAGTCTCAATACATTTACAAAGGTAGATATTAGATAAAGTGTCTTCTCTGGTCACAAAAAAAATGAAATTAGAAATCAATAAGAAAAGTAAAACCATAAAATTCACAGAATTGTGGAAATTAAACAACACTTTAAAAAACAAATGGATCAAAGAAAACATCACAATGGAAATCAGAAAATACTTAGAGAAAAATGGAAAACAGCACAGTAAAACTTAGAAGAAAAAGTGCAAGGAATATCAGAGGACAAATTTATAGCTCTAAATGCTTACCTTAAAAAATAAGAAAATTCTCAAATCACAACCTAAGTTTACAACTTACGGAACTTAAAAAAAAAAAAAGAACGAACTAAACCCAGTGGTAGAATAAAGAAGGAGATTATAAAGAGAACAGAGATAAACAAAAAAAAAATAGAAAAACAGGATAAAATAATAAAACTGAAAGATGATTCTTTGAAATGATCAAAAAAATTGACAAATCCTTAACTAAACTAAATGAGAATATGAGGTAAGACTGAAATTGCTAAAATCAGAAATAAAAGTGAGGACATTACTATTGATTCTACAGAAATAAAATAATTATAAAAGTGTACCATAAACAATTATATGACAAATTAGACACTCTAGATGAAATCAACAATTTCCTAGAAACATGAAACTACCAAAAATAAATCATGAAGAAATAGCAAATTTGAATGGACATAATTAGTAATAAGATTGTTTTAGTTATAAAAAATCTCTTGACAAAAATGTCTTGGATCTGATGGCATAACAGATAAATTCTACCAAACCTTTGAAGAATAACTAGCACCCATCCTTCTCTAATGTTTTCAAAAAGTAGAAGAGGAGAGAATGCTTCTTAACTGATTCTATGAAGCCAGCAATACTATGACAACCAAGGTCAAAACAGACACTATAAGAAGAAAATACTGAAGATCAATAACTCTTACGAACATTCATGCAAACATTCTCAAAAAATATTAGGAAACTAAATTTAGCAGCTTACCAAAAGGATTACATAGTAATCAAGTAGCATTTATTTATTGAATCCAATAATGATTCAACATACAATAATTAATCAATGTAGTTCACCGCATTAACAGAAAGAAAAAAAAAGAAACTCATAATTATCTGAAATTGTGTAGGAAAAGCACTTGACAAAATGTAGCATACTTTCATGGTCAAAACACTCAGCAAAACAAAAACACCTAGACACCACAAAATATACAAATGGCTATATATATATATATTCCACAGCAAATATCATACTCAATTAATGGAAAACTGAAAGCCCTTTCTCTAACATCAGAAAAAAGGCAAGGATACCTGCTTTAACCTTTCTATTCAACATAGTACAGAAAGTTCCAGACAGAAAAAAAATAGGTAAGCAAAAGAAATAAAGTCATTCAGATTGGAAAGCAAGTTAAATGGTCTCTTCTGAAAGACTGGCAAAAAGAACAGAATATCAAAGGACTGTGAGGCAACCACAAAAAGTATAACATATATTTAATAACTATACCAGAAGGAGAAGATAGAAGGATAGAAGTTTTGAAAGAATAATAGCTGAGAATTTTTCCAAATTAATGTCAGACACCAAATCACAGATTCAGGAAGCTCAGAAAACATCAACTGGGATCAATAAACAACAACAACAAAAAACCCCAAAACCTTACACCTAAGCATATTATTGTCAATTACATAAAAATCAAAAATTAAGAAAAAATTCTGAAAGAAGCCAGAGGGGAAAAACGAAAGTAAGAATTATTTTAGCTATGACGAAAAAAATAAGAATTATATCCTAATTCACCTTAGAAATTATGCAAGCAAGAAGAGAGTACACTGACATTTTAACGTTAAGAGAAAAAAAATCAACCTAGGATTCTTTACCCTGTAAAATTGCCCATCAATTGTGAAGAAGAAATAAAAACTTTTCTAAAAAAAAATGATGGAATTTGTTGCCACTAGACCTACTTTGGAAGATGTGTTTAAAGAAGATCTTTAGAGAGAAGATGAATAATATGATTTAGATATTCAGGTCCATACAAGAAAGAAGGAGCACCAAAGAAGAAACAAGTGAAGGTAAAATAAAAACTCTTATTTTCTTTATTCTACATTAATCTAATATATAACAGTTTATTAAAATAATAATAACAACTTATATTCCATTATATATACTTACATGTGCATATATATGTAAGTGAAAAGAATGACAGCCATGTTACAAGGAAAAGGGGGGAGGAATTAGGATTATTTTCCTATTATAAGCTACTCAGACTACCTGTGAATACAGTATTATTCAAACGTGTACATGGATTACTTGTAAATGTATATTGCAAAATCTAAGAAAAACCAAAAAAGTAAATAAGGAAGTACATCTGATACGCTAAGAAAGAAGAAAAACAAAACATGACGTTCTCAATTAAAATCACAAAAAGCAGAAAAAATGTAGAAGACAAAAAATAGCAAAGAACAAGGGCAACAAGTTAAAAGCAGCATAGAATATGGTAGAAGATAATCCACCTATATCATTAATCTCTTTGAATGTCAGTGGTCTAGATTTACTCACTTTGGGGAGTTTTATTAAATTTATTTTTTAGAGACAGGATCTCACTTCATTGCCCAGGCTGGAGTGCACTGGTGTTCACTGCAGTCGTGAACTCCTGGACTCAAGGGATCCTCCTGCCTCAGCCTTTCTAGTAGCTGGTACAACAGGCATGAGCCACCATGGCCAGATTTTTTCTTTTTTTTTAATTTTGTAGAGATGGGGCTCTCACTATTGCCCAGGCTGCTCGTTAACTTCTGGCCTCAATGATCCTACTGTCTCAGCCTCCCAAAATGCTGGGATTAAAAGGCTTGAGCCACTGTACTCAGCCTAAATGCACCAGTTAAAAGACAGAGTTTTCAGAGTTGATGAAAATATATGTTGTATATACCAAAGTATAAAAAATCCCACTTTAAATATAGAGGGACATATAAATTAAATAAATGGAGAGAAATATACTACTAATAATCAAAATTATAATATAGCTTCATAATTATTATGAAGCAGCAGAAGCTATAGTAATTTGAGACAAAGTACACTTCAAAGAAAGGAAACGTATTAGTAATGAAGAAGGGCATTACATAACCATAAGTGGGTCAGTTCTTCAAGAACACATGCAATCCTAAAATCAGAGTGTCAATATATGTGAAGCAGAAAGTGGTAGAAATGCAAAGATAAATAGCTAAATTTACTATTAACATGGAGCAGTTCAACAACACTATCAGAAATGGAGAGATCCAGCAGGCAGAAAATCATTAAGGAAAGAGTTGAACTAAGAAATATCAATCACATGATATAATGCGCATGTGTCAACAGTTTTATCCAACAACAGCACGATAAATTCTTCTCAAGTTCACATGGAATGTTCACCAAGATAGATTCACATCTGGGCCATAAAAACACAAATTTAAAAGAACAAAAATCATCTGATTCTGCTTTCAGACCAGACTAGAATTAAACTAGAAATCAATAACAGAAAGCAAGCATGAAAATCTCAAAATACATGAAGAGTAAACAATATACATAATATACCAAACGTTTATGAGAGAAATAATGCCAAATCTCTACAGTCTCTTCCAGAAAATAGATGCAGAGGGAATCCTACCTAATTCATCATATGAGGCCAGCATTATTACAGTACAAAAACTAAAAAAGATACTAGAAGAAAACTATAGATTAATATCTCTCATCAACATAGATACAAAAATTCTCAAGAAAACATTATAGGATCCAACAATGTATAAAAATAATTATACACCATGACCAAATGGAATATCCTAGGCTTACAAAGCTGATTCAACATTTTAAAAATCAATCTATTACACCAACAGGTTAAAAATAAATTAAACGTGCAGAAAAAGCATTTGACAAAATTCAATAATCATTAATAAAAACTCTAAGGAAACAAGAAATAGAGGGGAACTTATTCAATTTCATAAAGAATATTTTCTAAAAATCCTCTACAGCTGACATCACACCTTATGCTGAGAAACTAGAAACTTTCCCACAAAATTAAGAACAAAACAAATTTTTCTCTTCCCACCATTTCTTTTCATCATCATAGATGTCTTAGCTAATTCACTAGGACAAGAAAATAAAATAAGAAAATAAAAACTATATACAAATTGGGAAGGAAGAAGCAAAATTGTCTTTGCCAATGACATGACCATTTATGTAGAAAATCTGAAAGAATTAAAACTAAATGAACAAAAACAACTCTCAGAAGGAATAAACAATTACGGTAAAGTTGCACAGTCATGATGAATAAACATAAGTCGGTCCCTTTCCTATAAACTCACACTGAACAACGGGAATTTGAAACTAAAAACACAGTAACATTGACATAAGCACTCAAAATGGAAGATATAAATAAAATATGTACAAAGTCCATATAAGGAAAGTAAAACTTGGATGAAAGAAATCAAAGCTAAATAAAGACACAGATAAGAATATTATTGAATACTAAGAATAATATTGTCAAGCTATCATTACGATTTTGATCTATAAATTTAATGTAATAATGGCATGGCATGGTGGCTCATGCCTGTAATCCTAGCACTTTGGGAGGCCGAGGCGGGTAGATCACTTGAGGTCAGGAGATCGAGACCATCCTGGCTAACACAGTGAAACCCCGTCTCCACTAAAAATACAAAAAATTAGCCAGGCGTGGTGGCGGGCGCCTGTAGTCCCAGCTACTCGGGAGACTGAGGCAGGACAATCGCGTGAAACTGGGAGGCGGAGCTTGGAGTGAGCCGAGATTGCGCCACTGCACTCCAGCCTGGACGACAGAGCGAGGCTCCGTCTCAAAAAAAAAAAAAAAAAAAAAAAAAAAAGATTGAATGTAATACCAATCAAAATCACAGCAAATTATTTTGTGGGTATCAACTTATTTTTAACTTTGTATAGGAAGAAAAAAGACCAATAATAGCCAACTCAATATTGAAGGAAATGAACAGAATTGTATGATTGACACACCCTGACTTGAAGCCTTACTATAAAGATAAAATGATCAAGACAGTGTGGTGTTGGTTAATGAATAGTCAAATAGATCAATGAGACAGAATGGAGATGTCAGAAATAGACATACACAAGTATAGTCAGCTTATCTTTTATAATGGATCAAAGGTGATACATACAGAAAAATGTCTTTCCAACTAAAGGTGTTAGAAAACTTGACATTCCCCTGAAAAAATAATGAATCTAAACACAGATATTATATTCTTAACAGCAACAACAAAAATTAAAATGGATCATGGACCTAAGTATAAAACACAAATTGGTAAAACTCCTAGAAGAGAACTTTGGAGAAAGCCTACATAGTCTTTGGGATAGCAATGCCTTTTTATATGAACACCAAAGGCACAATCAATGAAATAAATAATTGATAAGTTAGATTTCATTAAAATTGAAAACTTCTGCTCTGCAATGTCAAGAGAATGAGAACAGCCACAGACTGGGCAAAAATATTTGTAAAAGACACAGCTGATAAAATATTATAATCCAAAATGTACAAAGTACTTTTGAAACTCCAAAATAAGAAAATGAGCAACCCAGGTACAAAATGAACAAAACAACTGAACAGACACCCAGACATTTTATCAAGGAAGATGTAAGAAGTCATATCCAAATATGTCCAACTATATATATATATATATATATATATATACATGTATATATTTAATTAGAAAATAGCAAATTGAAACAATGAGATGCCACTCCATACATATTAGAATGACAAAAATACAGAGCACTGACAATGCCAAGTGCTGGTGAGAATATGAAGCAGCAGGAATTCTCATTTATTATGGGAATGCAAAATAGTAAAGCCACTTTAGAGGAAGGTTTGGCAGTGTCTTCCAAAACTACACACACTCATTTTTTTGCAGGGAGGAACATCGTCTCACTCTGTTACCTAGGCTGCAGTGCAGTGGTGTGATCACACTCATTGCAGCTTTGACCTCCCCAGGCTCAGGTGATCCTCCCACCTCAGCCTCCTGAGTAACTGGGACTATAGGCATGTACCATCACACCTGACAAACTTTTGTATTTTTTGTAGAGACAAGGTTTCACCATGTTGCCCAGGTCGGTTGCAAATTCCTGAGCTCAAGCGATCCTCCTGCCTCAGTCTCCCAAAGTGCTAGGATTACAGGCATGGAGCCACAGCACCTGGCCTAAGACTACACATACCCTTACTATATGATGCATCAGTAGCACTTTTTGTATGTATATAAATACTTTGAAATTTTTTATCCACACAAAATCCTGCAACAGAGATGTTTATAGCAGCTTAAAAAAAAAAAAAAACTGCTTAAACTTGAAGCAACCGGGATATCCTTCAGTAGGTGAGTGGCTTAATAAACAGTGGCACATCTAGACAATGAAGTATTATTGAGTTTTAAAATGACTTGATCTAACAAACCATAAAAAGACATGGAAGAAACTTAAATGGATATTACCAAGTGAAAGAAGCCAGTTTGAAAAGCTATGTCGTATAGTATAACAAATACATGACCTTCTGGAAAAGGCAAAACTTTAGAGACAGTAAATAGATAAGCGGTTATCAGAGGATCGGAGGGAGGAAGGAATGAATACGCAGAGCACACAGGAATTTTAAGGTAGGAACTATTCTGTAGGATACTATAATTGCGGATATATTTCATAAACATTTGTCCAAACCCATGTAACATGTACAACACCAAGAGAAACTCTTATATAAATTATGGACTTTGGGTGATTATGAAGTAACAATGTAGGTTTATCAACTGTAACAAATGTAGCACTCCAGTTGAGGATATTGATAGTGGGAGTGGCTATGCAACACAGCGATATTTCATTGATATCACAGGGCGTCAACACTATATATTATAAATACTGGAGTGATATTTCATTGATATCACAGGATGTAAACACTGGATATTATAAATATCAGCAATATTTCGTTGATATCAGAGGGGGTAAAAACTGGATACTATAAATGGCGACATTTCATTGATATCACAGGATATAAACATTGGATACTGGAAATATCACAGCCATATTTTGTTTATATCACAGGGTTAAACGCTGGACATTATAAATATCACAGCAGTATTCCATTGATATCACAGGGTGTAAACACTGGATGCTGTAAGTATCACAACAAGATTTCATTCATATCACAGGGTGTAAACATTGGATACTATAAATATCACAGTGATATTTCATTGATATCACAGGGTGTAAACACTGGACATTATAAATATAACAGCGATATTTCATTGATATCACAGGGTGTAAACAATGGATATTATAAATATCACAGTGATATTTCATTGATGTCACAGGGTGTAAACACTGTGTATAAATAAACACTGGATATTATAAATATCACAGCAATACTTCATCAATATCGCAGTGTGTGAACACTGGATATTAGAAATCTCACAGTGAAATTTCATGAGTATCACAGTGTAAGCACTGCATGTAAACACTAGATATTACAAATATGTGATACTTCATTAATATCACAGTGTATAAACACTGGATATTATAAATATCACAGTGACATTTCTTAATATCACAGTGTGTAAACACTGGCTATTAGAAATGTCATGCAATATTTTATTAATATCACAGTGTGTAAACACTGGATACTAGAAATATCTCAGCGATAGTTTATTAATATTACAGTGTGTACACACTGGATGTTAGAAATATCACAGTGATATTTCAGGAATATCACAGTGTGTACACACTGGATATAAGAAATATTGCAGCAATATTTCATTGTTATCACAGTGTGTACACACTGGATATAAGAAATATTGCTGAAATATTTCATTGTTATCACAGTGTGTACACACTGGATATTAGAAATATCTCAGTGATGTTGATATCACAGTGTGTAAACACTGGATATTAGAAATATCACTGTGATATTTCATTAATATGGTGTGTAAACACTGGATATTAGAAATATCACAGTGATATTTCATTAATATCACAGTGTAAACACTGGATATTAGTAATATTATGGACAGAAATGTATGTATAATTTTTGTAACTTTATCTCAATTTTACAGTCATCCTGAAACTGCACTTTAAAAAGTCTTTGAAAAATAAAATAGAAAAAGTGTGCGTTTTGAATCCATTTGATAATAAATATATATACATGTCTAAATCTGTCTATGTATATCACAACTTTGATGCAGAAATTATATTGACTTAATCCAATCTATAGAAAAATGAATAAATGCCTATAAAAATACATAAATTGTGGTAGTTGAGCTTAAGGAAATTAGAGCTGTTAGGCTGCCTATCTTCTTGATTAATCACGACAAATCGATGTACATGCTTACGTGACACTGTTGTTAAACTTGTACAAAGGGAACTCAAGGCCAAGAGCTTAAGATATATAATAGGCATGTAGGAGACCTTTGAAACAGTCTTCATAAAACTCAGTGATGTGTGTGTATGTGTCTACTTTCTAATTTCAAAAAGACATGGCTTAAACATATGCCAGTCATTGTGAGTATTTTGTGTTTATAAATCTGAGCATTTTGAGTAAAGCCAGAGGTTTCAGGGTTAACTATTTGCCTAAAAGATTTTGTTGGAAAAGAGTGCAATTTCTGTTGTTGGAAGAAAATGTGCACTATTGCTTCTTTGCTGAACATGTCCCAGCCTCATGTCAATATAGAAGGGCTAGAATGTGCCTGGTGTTCAGAATGGCTGTTTGCCAATTTAAAAGGTTTCTGAAAAGAAGAGAGTCTATTGTCTACTCTTTCAAATTACAGGAAAATGTATTGTTTGTGGAGCACGGTTCACAGCCAAAAAAAAAAAAAAAAAAAAGATTCTTGCTCACATAAATTTTGTCTTTATTTTTAACCTTTCGTTTTCTCTGTGAGCCATCATTCTGTGCTTATGGGGGAAAAATTATTCTGGCCAGAAGATGAGCTACCACTTAAGATGGCCAGTCACTACTAGTGGTACAAACGGCGCTTCAACAGCATTCTCATTTTCAGTTAGTCAATACAAGAACCGGAAAATAGTTCAGATCTGACTAGGGACTTAAAAAAAACAGATGAGAAGAAGATACAAACAAAAATATAAGGCATCAAACACCACAAATTACTTTTTGAGGTTAAAAAATAGGTAGTATTCAACAATGCTTAAGAGCTTAGACTTTGTTATCAAAATATTTGCAAGAGTGGAAGCAGCTGCAGCAGAAACAGTTATACACTAATATGCAAATTTTCTTTTTAAAAATGATGAGGAACATGAAAAATCTCTACTATTGAAAACATTTTCTTCAAATATTACATTTCTTTCAGAAACCTTTGATTATGTTTCAAATTAAAGAATTATTTCACTAAAATCTAGTACTCACATGTTACATTCATACATGAAATTCTAATGCATGATTATATGAAATGTAAGCTTAGAATTTTATAAAGTGATAATGGGTTTGCATTAATGTGTGTAAACCAGTAAAAAGGTACCTTTTTGATTTTACTATGAGCACAGAATTTAGATTTTGGTCATATCCACAATAAATTTGCCAGTGGAAAATAGGTATTGCTCTAGTCCATTCTCACACTGCTATGAAGAAATACATGAGATTGGGTAATTTGTAAAGAAAAGAGGTTTAATTGACTCACAGTTCCGCGTGACTGTGGAGACTTCATGAAACTTATGATCATAACAGAAGGCACCTCTTCATGAGAGAGAGAATGAGAACTGAGCAAAAGGGGAAGCTTTTTATAAAACCATCAGATCTTGTGAGAACTCACTCACTATCATGAGAACCCTATGGGGGAAACTGTCACCATGATTCAATTATCTCCACCTGGTCTCTCCCATGACACAAGGGGATTATGGGAACTACAGTTCAAAATGAGATTTGAATGGGGACACAGCCAAACCATATCATTCCATATCATATCATTCCACCCCTGGTGCCTCCAAAATCTCACATCCTCACAGTCAAAACATAACTTTGCTTTTCCAACAGTCCCCTACAGTCTTAGCTCATTCCAGCATTAACAAAAATGTCCAAGTCCAAAGTGTCATCTGAGACAAGGCAACTCCCTTCTACCTATGGGTCTATGAAAGTAACTAAAAGCAGATTAGTTACTTTCTAGATACAATGGGTATACAGGTATTGGGAAAATACATCTGTTCCACCCGGGAGAAATTGGCCAAAACAAAGGGGTATAGGACACATGCAAGTCTGAAATCCAATAGGGCAGTCATTAAACCTTCAAGTTCCAAAATGATCTCCTTTGATTGCATGTCTCAATCCAGGTAATGTTGATGCAAGAGGTGGGCTCCCATGCCTTGGGCAGCCCTGCCCCTGTGGCTTGCAGAGTAGAGACCCTTCCCAGATGCTTTCACAGGCTAGTGTTGCGTGTCAGTGACTTTTCCAGGCATATGGTACCAGTTGTCAGTGGATCTACCATTCTGGGGTCTGGAGGATGGTGGCCCTCTTCTCACAGCTCCACTAGGCAGTGCCCTAGTGGAGACTCTGGGTGGGGCTCCAACCCCACATTTCCCTTCCACGCTTCCCTAGCAGAGGTTCTTCACGAGGGTGTCACCCTTACAGCACACCTCTGCCTGGACATCTAGTCATTTCCATACATCCTCTGAAATCTAGTTGGAGGTTGCCAAACCTCAATTCTTGACTTCTGTGCACCCACAGGCCCATCACCACATGTAAGCCACAAAGGCTTCAGGCTTGAACCTTCTGAAGCAATGGCCTGAGCTGTAGGTTGGCCCATTTTAACCACACCTGGAATGCAGGACACTAAGTCCCAAGACTGCACAAAGCAGCAAGGCCCTGGACCTGGCCCATGATACCATTTTTCCTCCTGGGACTTTGGGCCTATGATGGGAGGGGCTTCTGTGAAGATCTCTGACATGCCCTGGAGACACTTGCCCCATTGTCTTGGCAATTAACATTTGGCTTCTCGTTACTTACACAAATTTCTGAAGCAGGCTTGAATTTCTCCTCAGAAAATGGTTTTTCTCTTGCATCATCAGGCTGCAGATTTTCCAAACTTTTATGCTCTCCTTCCCTTTTAAGTGTAAGTTCCAGTTCCAAACCATGTATTTGTGAATACATAAAACTGAATGCTTTTAACAGTACCAAAGTCAGCTCTTGAATGTTTTGCTCCTTAGAAATTTCCACCACCAGATACCTTAAATCATCTCTTTCAAGTTCAGAGTTCCTCAGATCTCCAGGACAGGGGTAAAATGCTACCAGTCTCTTTGCTAAAACATAACAAGAGTCACCTTTATTCCACTTCCCAACAAGTTACTCATTTTCATCTGAGACTACCTCTTTCCTGACTTCATTATCTAAATTACACTATCAGCATTTTGCTCAAAGCCATTCAACAAGTCTCTAGGAAGTTCCAAACTTTCTCACATCTTCTTGTCATCCTATAAATTCTTCAAAATGTTCCAACCTCTGCCTGTTACAATTCAGAGACGAATCCATACATCAAAACTGAACTCATTTTTGACAAAGTTACCAAGAACATAAACTGGGGAAAGGACAGTATCTTCAATAAATGGTGCTGGGAAAACTGGATATTCATATATAGAAGAATCAAGTTAGAACTTTATATACAAAAATAATATCAAGATATATTAAAGACATAAGTCTAAGACTTCAAATTATGAAACTACTAAAAGAAAACTTTGGAGAAACTCTCCAGGACATTGGACTGGGCAAAGACTTTTTGAGTAATACCCAACAAACACAGGCAACCAAAGCAAACATGATCTAATGAGATCCTATCAAGTTATAAAGTTTCTGAATAGCAAAGGAAAAAAATCAACAAAGTGAAGAGACAACCCACAGAATGGAAGAAAATATTTGCAAATTCCCTATCTGACAAGGGATTAATAACCAAAATATACAAGAAGCTCAAACAAGTCCAGAGGAAACAATCTAATAATTCAGTTAAAAGTAGGCAAAAGATCTTAATAGAAATTTCTCAAAAGAGGACATACAAATCGCAAGAGATATATGAAAAGATGCTTAACATTATTGATCATTAGAGAAATATGTGAATCACAACCACAGTGAAGTATCATCTCATCCCAGTTAAAATGGGTTTTATCTAAAATCAGACAATAACAAATGCTTTCAAAGATGTGGAGACAAGGGAATCCTTGTACACTGTTGGTGGGAATGTAAATTAGTACAAACACCATGGAGAACAGTTTGGAGGTTCCTCAAAAAAGGAAAAATAGAGCTTCTGTAACATTCAGCAATCCCACTCCTATGGATATACCCCAAAGAAAGGAAATTGGTCTGTCAAAGAGATACGTGCACTCACATGTATATTGCAGCACTATTCACCATAGCCAAGATCTGGAAGCAACAAAAGTGTCCATCAACAGATAAATGGATAAAGAAACTGCGCTACCTATACACAATGGAGTACTATTCAGCCATAAAAAGAATGAGATCCTGTCATTTGCAACAATGTGGATGGAACTGGTGGTCATTATGTTAAGTGAAATAAGGCAGGCACAGAAAGGAAAACTTCACATGTTCTCACTTATTTGTGGTAGCTAAAAATTAAAATTACTTAACTCATGGAAGTAGAGAGTGGAAGGATGATCACCAGAGGCTGAGATGGTTGGTGAGGGGTGACGGGAGGTGAGGATGGTTAATGGGTACAAAAACAATAGTTTGAAAGAATGATTAAGGCCTACTATTTGCTAGCACAACAGGGTGTCTATAGTCAAAACTAATTTAATTGTGCATTTAAAAATATCTAAAAGACTATAATTGGATTGTTTGTAACAAAAAGGATAAGTGCTTGAGCTGATGGATACCCCATTTACCCAGTTGTGATTATTATGCATTGCATGCCTTTATCAAAATGTCTCATGTAACTCTTAAGTATATATGCCTATAATATAGTCCCAAAATTTAAAAATAAAAAATAAAAAGCAAATAAAATATCTCCAAAAATGATAACATTTTTTAGATATGAAAATGTTTTAATATAAAAGTATAAAAAAGGCTTCAGAAAGATGAAAGCAATCATAAGGCACTCATATATAAAGGAAATTTATTTCATTCTTTCGTTTGATGTTAAAACCTCTAGTAAATTATCACTTTATTGTTTCAATAAAATATAAAAATGCATATTAACTCTAACATACGTTGGGTTTTGTTTTGTTTTTTGACAGTTTGAAGCCAACAGGTTCAAGGAAGAATCTGCTTACAAGCTCCCACAAGCTCTTGACAGAATGCATCTCTGCTTTGTTGTTGGTTGTAGAAATGAAGTCTCTGTTTTCGTTCTGTCTGTCACAAACATCTCACTGTGCTCCTGGAGGTCACTTGTAGTTCCTTGACACATGACTCTCTCCATACGCCCTGTAAGAACATGTTAAGAGATCTGGGAAATTATTTTACTCCATAAAATAACACCTTGGTAGATATTGAGTAAAGTTATGATGTTACTTGCTTTTTAGCACACTTTATCAATGTGTGTTACACTAGAGTGCCTTCTGTAAACAGCCTGAGGGAGCTTAGAAGCAGATTTATTTAGCACTAGGTACATGACTAGATAGCACTAGATAAAGAACCCTGGGTGTTTAGGTTACAGAGGTCGGGTGTTAGGAAAGCAGTAATAAAAGGGGCTAACTGTGTACCTGAACACTTCTGTTATACCATGGATTATTTGAACCTTAATCCATGCAACATTATCAATTATGAAATGACTGTGACATGAATAAAGTTGTTTATTAATGAACTTCATGCTACCCACTTTCAGGGAGTAAACAATGAATAAATCTTTTATGATTATCTTGTCCAATGGAAACGTAATTATTCAGTTGCTCAGATTAAATACCATGGAGGCATTTCTGACTCTTCTCTCAAAATCACTCATCTCCCTGGGCATGGTGGCTCATGCCTATAATCCCAGCACTTTGGGAAGTGGATCACTTGACTCCGGGATTTTGAGACCTGCCTGGATAACAAGGAGAAACCCCAACTCTACAAAAAATACAAAAATTAGTTGGATGTAGTGGTGCGTGCCTGTAGTCCCAGATACGTAGGAGGCTGAGGTGGGAGGATCACTTGAATCCAGGAGGTTGAGGCTGCAGTGAGCTGCGATTGTGCCACTGCCCTCCAGTCTGGATGACAGAGTGAGACCATGTCTTTAAAAAAAAATACTAATCTAAGACTGTTTTTTCAAAATACAATCGACAATCGTATCACTTCACACAATCTCCTCATTTGCTACCACACGAGCGCATACCATCAAATCTCTTGCTTAGATTATTATTATATCTTCTAACCACCTGCCCCTATCCCTACCCTTGCCCTTCCTTTCACTGTCTGTTTGCAACACACCAGCCAGGTAATCCTTTTAAAACATAAGTCACATGTTAACACTTCTGTGCTCAAAAGCCTCTAACGCTTTCCATTATACTCTGAGCAAAGCACTGACAAATTCCTTATAACTCCTACAAGCCTTCCATTAATTATCTATTGCTGCATAAATTTAGTAGGTTTAAAATGACACATATTTATTATCTCAAAATTCCTATGCACCATGTGTTTAGACCATTTAGACACAAGTTATCTGGGTTCTTCACTTCAGGATTTTGTCAGGCTGAAACCCTAGTGCTGACCAGAGTGGTAGTCTTATCAGAGACTTGACTAGGGAAGAATCTGCTTACAGGCTCCCACAAGCTCTTGACAGAATGTATCTCTGCTTTGTTGTTGGTTGTAGAAATAAAGTCTCTGTTTTCGTTCTGTCTGTCACAAACATCTCACTGTGCTCCTGAAGGTCACTTGTAGTTCCTTGACACATGACTCTCTCCATACGCCCTGTAAGAACATGTTTGTTTATCTTTTTAAAGCCAACAATGAAGATGGTGAATCTTTAGTGTCTGCTAGCAAAATTATACACATGCACACACACACATACATAAACATACACACACACACACACACACTTAATGAAAGTGTAAAAATCAGAGTGGCGTCTCTATTTTGCCATCTTCTAATAGTGAAAATCAAATTACAGGTTCTCCTCAAACTCAAAGGGAGGGGATTATACAGGGCATGAATATGGAAGTCAACAGAATCTATCCAGCAGCAAGCTTCTACATGATCCTCCTACTCACCACTTCTCTGAATTTATCTCCTGCCACTCTCCATCTGGCCCACTTTGCCCTGGATAGATTGGCCTCCTTGTTCTTTGATTCACAAAGGGAATATCTGCTTCTTCATATTCACCCTTCTCACAGGTGGTAACCCTCTTTCTTGGGAAAGAAATCCATAAGACGGGCAGCTAGACAACCTTTAAGTCTGTCGTAAAATGTAAGCTTATCAGGAAGAACATCCTTGATTATCTTTTGAAAACTTGCAACCCTCATATTTCTTCATCCCTATCCCTTAAATACTTTTCTCCATAAAATATGTCACCACTTGGCATTTTATTTATTTTTAATTTTGTTGTTTATCTCTCCCACGTCATCATGAGTGCACAAAATTTTTATCACTGAATTCTTAACATGAAGAACAGTATCTATTGTGCATTTATAGAAGAAGATCCCAATAAATGAATATGAAATGAATTATTGGGTTGTTCTTTTAAATAGGAAATGAATTGTATCAAAATAAGGTCATTTATGATAGAGAATAATGTTTTGATGAATAGTCCATAATATTAAAAACATTACTTTTGGTTTTTTGATATTTCTCTTCGTTGTAAGAAAATTTCTTCTTTAATTTCATTGATGCATTTTACATTTATCATTCAGAAGTAGAGTTATTCATGTACATACAATCTGGTAGTAAGAGTCTTACTTAAAGAAATATAAGAAAGCTATAGATCCTAGATCTACTCACAAACTTTGCAGAGGGCTCTCCACATGATAGATATTAATTAAATCTTCACTTAAATAAATAGGGACTACACTATCCCATTGATCACAGGTCTGCCATCCTTGATCTTAAATCTGCTGGGAATCATACAGAATGATTACATGGAGTGATGGATATACCTAGTTTTATCGCATAGAATATAAAACACTAGTGGTTAATGTGGAGACTTTTTTCAAAAGTGTTGTTATCTATATTTTTGTACATTAACTTGAATACAATTTAAATGCAGTTTGTCGATCTTGGTCAATGTAAATGTCCATCAGCAGACAAATGGATGGGAAAGTATAATGTATATACACAATGGAATACTATTCAGTCTTAAAAAAAGAAGAAAATTCTGTCATTTGGGATAACATAGATAAATCTAGAGAACGTTATGCTAAGTAAAATTAGCTAAGCACAGAACAGCAAATACTGCATGATCTCCCTTGTGTATGGAATCTTAAAAAAGTTGAATCCACAGAAGAGAGTGAAATGATGTTTACCAAAAATGAAGGGGGGTGTGTAATGAGAGAATGGAGAGTTACTGGTCAAAGGGTATGTTGTTTCAGCCATACAGGAAGAATAAGTTTTGAGACTAAATGCACAGCAGAGTGTCTATAGTCAATAATAATGTATTGTGTATTTCACAATAACTAATAAATAAATTTCAAATGTATCAGCACAAAAAATGTTAATAAGTGAGGTGCTGGTTATGTTAGTTATCTTGATTTAATCAATTCACATTGTAAACACATATATCAAATCACATTGAACTCCATAATGTAATACAATTATGATTTTTCAATTAAAAATAATATAAATTAAGTATTCTTAAATAGCCTTGCATTTGTAGTTATGTTTGCTTCATTTTCATGAAAACTCTATAGTTCTTGAGAAAACAACATCACGTACTTGTATTCAAATATGCACATCCAAACAAAGTAATGCTTCGAATTCCAAAGGGGTATTATGCTAATGAGGCCAACAGAATTCAAAGTGTGCCTTGGAAATAAGAAAGAATCCTGAAAGAAGTAATTGGGATCAAGGTTATGAATACAGAGAAGATTCAATCAAGGTGTAAATGCATGATGGGTCAAGATATTAGAATATGCTGCCAAAATATAATTCCTGGAGAAATGAAGACTGTACCATATTAAAATAATCAACACAAAGGGATATAATATTACTTGAAAAGAGACATGATTATGAATTTGATTTAATTGTAGGTTATATTGGAGCTGACTTGCCTTATGATGAAAGGGAGTGTGGGCTAGATTTCTCTTAAGATAATCAAGAAAGGAAGAAATGCAATTAACATTGCAATAATTACACTGCAATCTTCTGATAATAAGGTTACTATAAGTAATCAACAAGACTCCTGGTGTTCTGTGTAATTTAATGTATAGTACTTCTAAAAAATTGGCTCTTATGGAATCCCAATAAACCATTTAAATCCATTCTGTGTGGAAAAAATAATATGATCCAAACTCAATATGTAAGTCTTCACCTTGGGAAAAGACACTATCATGTGCTGAGGAGGGATTTTAAATTGCCTTAAGATTTTGAAGGGAGATTTGGCAGTACCTATCCAAATCCTCTATGCACATACCGTTAACCCAGAAATTTCACAGTATTCATATATTCCACAAAGTCAATAAGGAATGGAAAAAGTGATAAATTTTTTGCTGTTTATTACAGCGTTGATTGTAACAGTGGGGAACAAAAGCTTAAATAAAGCTAAATGACTGTCACTTGTAGATAGCTTAAATGAAATATGATACATGTAAACTATGAAACATGCAGTTATATTTTTAAGTAAGATTAAACTAAATGTGCTGATATGGATATATTTTTATGTGGTAAAAACAAACCATGATATAAAATAATTCAATATAAGATAATCACATTTGTGTATATTTTAAAAGATATGCACATATATGCTTTAAATTGTATATATATATGTATACACACATAAAATATATATGGGTGTCTCATACAAAGAGCTAGAAGAGATACTACGTGGTCTGTGAATGTTGAGTTCCTTAACTCAAATACTCTTTGTGACACTGGGAAAGTTTCTTAATCTTTCCGTGTCTTAACTCCTCATTTGTAATATTAAATGTAAAATTTAATGTGTAGTAAAATTAAAATAATTGTTTTGAAGATTAAATAAGATAGTGCATGTGTACATTTAGAATACTGCCTATATCACTAAAAACAGTTAATAAGAATCAGCTAACATTAATATCACCATCATAATTTTTATTATGATTATCATTTTGACACGTGTTTATGTTAGAAGAACCTTTCTCTACAAGAATAGTTGCACGAAAACATGTTTTTCTATGGGACGCTACTAAAAGAAAATGTAATATTTTTCATCTTCATTTTAATTTTTTCTATATACTTTGGAAAATTGTATGTTTGTGTGTGTGTGCATATGTGTGTGTTTACTGGGTTAAGAAAATATTACATGGTAAACATTTGAAAACAGAATACAAACAAGGAAATTAAATTACTCTTGGAATGCACTTTGTATTGTATATTAGTCTTTTAAGGCTGCTATAAAAAACATCACACACTAAAACGCTTACACAACAGAAATTTATGTTGTCACATTTCTGAAGGCTGAAACAGATCAAGGTGTCAACAAGATTGATTCTTTCTGATGACTATGTGAAAAGGGCATGTTTCAGGATCCTCTCCTTGAGTTGTAGATGTTCGTCTTGATCCTTTGTCTTCACATTGTCTCTCTTTTTTTTTTTTTTTTTTTGAGACAGTGTCTCGCACTGTCACCTAGGCTGGAGTTGCAGTGGCGCGATCTCGGCTCACTGCAAGCTCTGCCTCTCGGGTTCACGCCATTCTCCTGCCTCAGCCTCCCAAGTAGCTGGGATTACAGGGGCCCGCCACCACGGCTGGCTAAGTTTTTGTATTTTTTAGAAGAGATGGGGTTTCACCATGTTAGCCAGGATGGTCTCGATTTCCTGACCTCGTGATCCAACCGCCTGGGCCTCCCAAAGTGCTGGGATTACAGGCGTGAGCCACCGCACCTGGCCTTTATTTTATTTTTTTTGCGAGGGGGGTCTCGCTCTGTCTCCAGGCTGGAGTGCAGTGGCGCTATCTTGGCTCACTGCAACCTCGGCCTCCTGAGTTGCTGAGACTACAGACCTGCGCCACCACGCCCAGCTAATTTTTGTATTTTTAGTAGAGAGGGGTTTCAACATGTTGGCCAGGATGGTCTGAATCTCTTGACCTCATGATCCGTCCGCCTTGGCCTCCCAAAGTGCTGGGATACAGGCCTGAGCCACCATGCCCGGCACACATTGTCTTCTCTTTATACATGTTTGTGACCAGATTTTCTCTTTTTGTAAGGACATCAGTTATATTGGAATAGTGCCCACCTTAATGAACTCATTTTAATTTAGTTACTTATGTAAAGGCTTTATCTCCAAATGCCGACACATTCTGAGGTACTTGTGGTTAGCACTTCAACATACAAATTTTAGGATACTGGAGGCACAATTCAGCCATAGCAGTATGCCAAATGCTAAATTCTTTATTTGTCATATTTGTGTTTGTTATAATTTAATAATTTCAGAAATAGTGATCACAAAATGAAAGAGGAAGGGAATTTTATTTTTATTTTTTGGAATTTCAGAGATGAGCTCGATTTCTTTTATATAGTGGTGAGTCAGTAAGTTTTTTGGTTTTGTAATCGTTGGAACAAGGTGTCACCCCAAAAAATCCAACTTTCTGTCTTTAAGAGCAGCACCAGGCTTTCTTGGGAGTCTAACATTTGTAAACTATATAAGAAATCAGTCACCTCACTTTTTCTCAAGGATGATGAATAGAACTTTTGTGTTTCTAGGAGTTTAATCCCGTGTATCTCTGAGGATGGCATACTGTGTGCATATGCATGTAAGCTCATGTACATGTGTTTAAAATAAAAACACCCTTCATTTGTAGGATGGCCATATATTCTGTTTTGCAGAGGACAATCCACATTTATAACTGTTTACCTGGAAGTAACTAATAGGATCCCTTTTCACTTTCAAATATGTCTTGATTCAGATATTAAATTATAAACTCTCCACATATATTGACAACCAAACTATATTTTTGTAGAAATTGAGCTGAATACTTCTTTACATGAAAATGGCTGAAAAAGAAGTTTGCAAAAATCTAATGATCTCTGCCTTAGACATTCTATTAAATCCTGTGAGTTTAATATTTCTATGAGGAATTACGTGGATTTGACACTGGCTCTGCCATATAAACCTGAATAGGCTTGAACAAGTGGTTTAAATTCTCAATGTCTCAGTCTCCTCATTACTAAAATTGCATAATTATTGTATCTAATTTATTTGTTTTATTATTTTTGTTTCTTTCAAACAAATATTAAATGCAATGAAATACTTGTATCTTATGTTAGTTTTTGTGAGTGTATACACCATGTATTCATTACCTAAATTAATAAATAGAACGTTCCCATCATCCCTGAGTGGTCTGTTTTGCAATCTTAGAACAAATTTTCTTTAATCATAGGAAACTAGGGCTTTGATTTCCATCTATGTAGATTAGGTTTGCCTGTTCTTACCTAAATATAAACTTTATACAGATAATCTTGCAGGTCTCTATTAGTGCATGGTTTCTTTCTCTTTGCATAATGCTATTCAGATAGTTCATATGGTTCATGGATGACCCAGCACCTCATTCCATTTTGTTGATGAGTAGTTTCCCATTATATGAATATAGGATAATATAGCTTACTATTATCGTGTTCATAAATCTGTGGGTTGTTTCCATTTTAGGCTGTTATAAATAAAGCTTCTGTAAACATTCTTATAAAAATCCATTTTTGGTATTTTCGTCTCTGTTGGATAAAGTGAAATTGCTGGATCATAGGTTAGGTGTATGCTTAACTTAAAAAAAAATTGCCAAAGAGATTTGTTAAGTGATTGCATCATCTTTCATTTTCAACAAAATTTTATGAGAGTTTCAAACTTTCCATATCCTCATAAACATTTAGTATAGTCAGGCTTTTCAGTTTTAGCCAGAATGCATATAGCAGCAGCTCATTGTAGTAGTTTTAATTTGAATTTCCAAAATGACTAATGATAAAGAGCAAATCTAATAACTAATTAAGCATAGTGCATCTTTTTTAGTGACATGTCTATTAAAGTGATTTGATAATTCATATGGATTCTTTCCTTTAATAATTTGTGTGGAAGAGTTGTTCTTATATTCTAAATAAAATCCTGAGTTAGAAACATATATCACAAATGGCCAGGTGTGGTGGCTTACGCCTGTAATCCTAGAACTTTGGGAGGCCAAGACAGGAGGATCATTTGAGGTCAGGAGTTCGAGATCAGCCTGACCAACATGGTGAAACCCCGTCTCTACTAAAAATACAAAAAATTAGCCGGGTGCAGTCGCTCATGCCTGTAATCTTAACTACTTGGGAGGCTGAGGCAGGGGTATTGCTTGAACCCAGGAGGCAGTGGTTGCAGTGAGCTGAGATCATGCTACTGCACTCCAGCCTGGGTGACATAGTGAGACTCCATCTCAAAACAAAAAACAAAAAACAAAAAACAAAAAAATATAAATAACAAATCTTTTCTCCCAATCTATGGATTTTATTTTCTAAATTTCTAAATGATACATTTTGATGAAAATTGTTATCATTTTAAGGAAATATATCAATTTTTAAATTTTTTATCTTCGGGGTTTTATGTGAGTTGTCTAAGATAAGTTTTCCTACTTCAAAGATGTAAAAACATTGTCTTTACACTAAAGGCTGCATATCTTTAAAAGTTTTTGTAATTGGTATGTATTGGGGACTGAGATACATATTTCTCTGTACTAATATTCAGTATATTTTGCTGAAAAGCCTTTTCTTGACCTACTAAGTGGCCTTTCATTAGTGTTGTTACATGTCTTATCTCTTTTCTGTTCCACTAATTGTATTATTTCTGCTAATGCATGAACTACATTCTCTTTATTACTAACACTCTCATTTAGTCATGAAATCATGTAGAGTTGTCTTCCATACTTTTTCTCTTTCAAAATTTTTATTTTGTGCCATTTGCAAATATATTTTACAAACAGATGTCAATTTTTATCAAAATAACAATTCAGATTGTGATTGGGATAGCATTACATTTGTGTATTAATTTGTAGAAAATTAGCTCTTAACAATCTATGCATACTTCTCCACTAATCTATGACATAATTCTCCATTTATTTAAGTCTTTGATATATAGGTATTGAATAACTGTTGGTGCATGAACTCCTTGGTATTATATTTTATTGTTACTATTTAAAATGAATTTTGTTTTTCATTTTCTAGTCATTTGATCTAAATATGGAGAAATACATTAAATTTTTGTAAAGACTGTATTCTGTGACCTTGCTAAATTTGCTGTTTAGTTTTAGTAGTTATTTTTAGAGTAATTAGAATTTTCTGAATAAACAACCATGTTGTTTTTGAATGAACAGTTTTATTTTCATTTTCCAGATCTCTCTATAAGTAGATCTCTCTACAAGTTCCAGATCTCTCTATTTCTTTTTATTCCACTGAATTCGATGTACCGCCTTGAATAAAGTTGTGAGAAAAGATATACTTATTTCTAGTCAAATGATGTTATGTTTAGTATTTCACACAAAATGTAATGTTAACTGAAGGTTTTTAATAGACATACTTAATTGCATTAAAGAAAGTTCCTTTGCTCAAAGTTTGCCCAAAGTTTTTTTATTATCAAGAGATGCATTTAATTTTGTCTAGTGGGTTTTCAACATCTTTTGAAATGTGTGTGTGAATGTCTGTATTTGTGTGTGTGTGTGTGTGTGTGTGTGTGTATTAGTTTCAGTTCTCTAGAGTTCGCACATATATAGATATGTGTGTTTGTGCGTGTGTTTGCTTGCATGTATATACAGGAAGGAATTGGCTTGCGTGGTTATGGAGGCTGAGAAGTCCTATGACCTGCAATCAGCCAGCTGAAGACCTAGGAGAGCAAATGTATACTTCCAGTCTCAATCCAAAGGCTTGAGAAGCAGGAAAACTGATGACGTAGGTTTCAAGCATAGCCCGATGACCTAAGAACCAGGAGAGCCTATAGTGTAAACTCCAGTCTGAATCCAAGTGCAAAGATAAGAGAAGATTGATGTCCCAGCTGGTTGACTGTCAGACAGAGAGAGTAAATATACCTTTACTCCACTTTTATTTATATATTTTTCCTATTCAGGCCTCCAACAGATTGGATGTGGCCCAGCCGCCTTAAAGAAGGCAATCTGCTTTACTCAGATTACCAATAAAAGTGTTAATCTCATCCAGAAAAAGGATCACAAAGCCACTGAGAATAATGTTTATGTAGGCTCCACATGGCCCATTTAAGTTGACACATAAAATTAACCATTACAACTTTACCCCTTGTCAACTTCATATCCACATCCTTAAATGATATATAATCCCCAATGAAGCAATAACAAGTTCATAATTCCACCTAAAATGCTACAGCTGTCCTGCATACAACCCAAAGCATGCTAATCTTTTCCCCAGAAGTGGAGGTAAAGTCCTTCAGTGGTGTTTCGCCTTCTTCTTTATATCTTCTAACTTAAATACTGTGATGTAAAATTAATAATACTTAAATACTATTATAATATCAATATATCTATGTTACATAATAAGGGGATAAGAAAGAGAAGAAAAAATATGTTTGCTTAATTATTCTCTCTATCTAGATATAGATATACACACACAAACATATTCATAACAAATAAGGAGGGATACTCATGACAATGCAACTTGTTGGCCCATATTTAGGCTTTTAATTTCTATTAAGACCAAGAAGGAGGCCAGGAGCTGTTTCTCAGGAGAAATGTTTTATGGAGAGGATGGCAATGTTTTGCTTCAAAATTCTAAGGGCCTGTACTGTGAATCACCAACAGGGGCCTGCCAAAAGCTCCAAACAGCATCTGCCACTGACAATTCCAGTGTCATTGAATATACTGGATCACATGTCCAGCAGCAGAGCAGTTTTCACAACAGCCCAGAACTGCTTTTTGTTTGCTCATTTGTTTGAATTTGTTTTTATTTTTTTCCTCATAGATCATACCTTTATTAACAAATTAAAATTGTATATATTTATGGTGTACACCATGATGTTTTGACATGTGTATACACTGTGGAATGATTAAATCAACCTCATTAACATATCCATTATCTCATATACTTATTTTTTGTGTTGAAAGCATTTCAAAGTCATATACTTAGCAATTTTCAAGTATACAATGCATTGTTATTAACTAGACACCTTGTAGTGTAAATCTTTTGAACTTATTCCTCCTGTCTAATCAAAATTTTGTATGCTTTGACCAATATCTCCCCAATGTCGCCTCCTAGTCCTAGTTCCTGATAATCATCATTCTACTCTCAACCTCTATGCAGTCTACTATTTTAGATTCCTCATATAAGTGAGATCATGTGTTATTTGTCTTTCTGTCTTATTTCACTTACATAATTCTACATAATGTTATCCAGATTCATCCATGTTGCTTCAAATGACAGGCTTTCATTTTTTAATGGATGAGTAGTATTTACTTGTGTGTGTGTCTCTCTCTCACACATTTTCTTAATTCATTCACTGAGGGAAATTTAGATTTTTTCCACATCTTGGTGATTGTAAATAGTTCTGCAATGAACACGGGGGTACTGATGTTCCTTTAACATACTGATTTTATTTTTTGTGTATATTTTCTGAAGTGGAATTGCTAAATAATATGGTAGTTCTATTTTGAATATTTTGAGGAACCTCCATACTGTTTTTCCTAATGACTATACTAATTTACATTTCTACCAATAGTATACAAGTGTTTCCTTTTCTCCACATCCTCACCAACACTTATAATCATTTGTGAGGTTTTTTTTTAATAGCTGCTCTGACAGGTATGAGATTGTAGATCCTTGTGGCTTTGATTTGCTTTTCTCTGATGATTATTGATGTTAAGCCTATTTTTCCATGCCTTTTGGCAATTTGTACGTCTTTGAGAAATGTTTTTAAGGTCCTCTGCCCGTAATTGTATTATTTGTTTTCTTGCTATTGTGTTTAAAAACCTGTTGCAGAGCCTTCTCTAATACTAGGTCCTACACAACACTAGCAGGTTTTCAGGTCCTTCAGTAAATGGATTAGAGTAACACATTTAAATAAGAAATATGTTTCCTCCGAATTCAAAGAGGCTGATTAGGTATTGTGCTTCTTGTCCTTTGTTGTTTTTGTTTATTGCTTTTGTTTTGTTTGTAGGAGAAGCCAGATGCAAAGACATATCCTTTATCTTAGAAGGAATATCTTGGCTTGTACCACACCACTGGACACTTAGAAATTTTACTGAAGTGGAAGACCTTGAATTTTTGTTAGATTTATTTTCCACCATCTGACATGTCATTGGCTTACCAATTACATGTCCAGTATAGTTGCTTACTTACGTCTAGTATAGTTGCTACTTTCCGCTCGCTAGGTCTAAATCTTTAAGTTCTGCTTCTTTTGGTTACAAATTCCATTTTTAATTCAATTATCTTTTTTGTTTTTTTAGCATTGTGCTATAAGCAGTGAAGGGAAACCATAGAGCATCATGAGTGCTTTGCTTAGAAATTTCTTCTTCCATATAACCTAGTCCCTCACCCTTAAATTCTGTCTTCCACAAAGTACCAGGACACGGAAACAATTCACACAAATTCCTTGCCAGTTTGTAACCAGAATAACCTTTCTTCAAGTTTCCAGTAAAGTATTTCTTATTTCAATCTAAGAACTCATTAGAGTAGACTTTAGTGTCCATATTTCTACCAGTGTTCTGATCACAACCACTTAGATAATCTCCAAAAATATGTAGGCACTTTACACAGCTCTCCTCTTCTGAGCCCTCACCAGAATTGCCCTTAATGCTCTGTTCATAGCAATCATTTTTCTCCTAGCATGTACCTCTAAACTCTTCCATACTTTACTTATTACCCAGTTCCAAAGTTACTTCCACATTTTTAAGTATTTTGTATAGCAACACCTCAATTTTGGTAGCAATTTCTGTCTCAGTTTGTTTTGCTTGTGCTGCCATAACAAAATACCTCAGACTGGGTAAGTTTTGAAGAACATAAGTATATTTTCTCATACTACTGGAGGCTGGAACTTCCAAGATCAGGGCGCTGGCAGGCTATGTCTGGTGAGAGCCTCAGTCTCTGCTTTCAAGATGACACTTTGAATGCTGTGTATTCACAAGGCAAAAGGGATAAAAGGACAAAAGGGACTGAATTTACTTTCTCAATCACTTTTGTAGGACACTAATCCCATCCTCAACAAGGGACCCCTCATGTCCTTATTGCCCCCTAAAGGCACCATCTCTTAATACTGTTACACCAGGGATTAAGTTTCAACGTTAATGTTGGAAGCATCACGTACATTCAGACCAAATAAACAGTGGAGGCGTATCACTGACTTGCCATCTGAAATAATACTACTTCTGGTCAGCCTTGTTGGCTGGAATAGAGAAAAAGGCATTTGCCTAGGAGATGTGTTCATTTGCTCAAGCAATGAAATTTAATCTCACAATACAGCTGCAGTTGGAGTCACCATCTGGTTAAGCTGACAGTAATCCATTGTCATTCTCCAAGGCACATCTGTCTTCTTCACAGGCCAAATAGGTGAGTGAATGGAGATTTGGTGGGAATCACCACCCCAGCAGCCATCGTGTCTTTATGGTGGTACTAATTTTAAATGTCTCCAGGAATGTACTATTGCTTTCAGTTTTCTATTTTTCTAGTTAGAGATAGTGCTATTGACTTCCACTTGGCCTTTTCCATCATAATAGCCCTCACCTCAGAGGTCAAGAAACTAATGGGCAGATTCTGCCAGCTGCTGAGTAAATTTATTCTAAATATGCATTCCAGAACTTTGGAAATAATCACAGATTGGATTTGGAGCCCCCTTGTCCCACTGTGAGATGGAACTGAGCTGAGATTTTTTGATCACTTGACCTTCATAAGCCTTTACTCTGACTGGTGCACCACATGATGTTTTGGGTCCCCTGGAGTTATTGCCAATTCAGAGCCTGTGTCTAGTAGTATGCGAAAGTCCTGTTTATTATTTCCCAATGCACAGTTATCCTGGTAAAAGTGAGTATGCCCCTTTGGGAAATGCAGACAACAAGATTAACAGTATGTTTTTGTTAGTGAATCATGTTCCTTCCATAAGGGGACCTGGCCTCACCTTCATTCAAGAGGGTCTTGGTGTGTAAACTGGCTCAATTATAGTACTTGATGAAGTGGCAGTGACTCTCTGTCTTTTTATAACTCAGGTTAGACTTTCGTTTACTTGATCTGAAACTTTTCTGTTTTTATAGCTCAGTAAAAATTTGGTAGGTTTCTTATGTATTCCACTTCCAGGAATACCATGGTCCACTACACAGTGGCATGGGACTTAATAAGTCAGACAATTTGACTGCTCTCTGTTATGATGGTACCTATGCCCACCTTGGCTTTGTTAGTCAAGTGCTGCCACTTGGTCCCCACCACCAGGTAATTATTTACTCCGTTTGCATTTAAGTTTCCCAATTCAATGACTGGAGTTCAAGGGAAGAGTAATCATATGCTCTTCAAGGATGCTGTGGCTTCCCTCATAAATTTATTTCTTAGAGTAGTGATAGAAGATATGTCTTCTCAACCCATGCAGTGTGGGTTAGTAGGGCTTAAGTGACAAATCCACTGTAACACACCAATTTCCCTAAACTTTGAATCCTTCCTTTACATAAAATCAGAGAAGGTCTGACATATCTAATTCACTTACTGTGGGCCAGCTTTTGATTTATGTTTTAGACAATCAACGAAACAAACTCAGAGTCCTTCCTAATTCTCCAATGTGCAAGATTAAATGCAGAATACTTGCTTATGGACTTTACATCAATAAATTTGGCCTAATCCAACTTTATGTTTCTTCTACCATTATCTCAAACCCTCCAAATGAATTCCCGTACATATTCCCTAGATTCCCTTCTGTGTAAATTAGAAAACTCAAGCTATTATTTTTCAATGCATTGTACTTCCTCACAGGTCATACTTTCTACCTTACTTTAAGCTGCCTGCTGGGACTAGAGTCTAGTTACAGGTCTAGAAAAAAAAGAATGGTAGTGGAGATGGGTGATGAGGACAATCACCACTGTCTTACATGAAAACTGCCTCAAGGGAGTGTCTTACTTTAGGCAATGCAGGGTTAATCCCCTTACGGTTAGAGAGGCCACAACCCATGGGAGGGGGAGAAGGCTGCTTTCACTGGGAGTGCGGAGTCTTCTTTCATCTCCTGACAAAGGAGACTCAAATTAGACATGAAATTTAGTGGCTCAATGTCCCCAGCTTCATCATGGTGTTCTCACATGTCTCTATTCATTACCGTTACATTAACAGGTAGACAACCTTTAAGGCTGAAAGTTTTAACTTGTGTTGCATTTAGCCAGTCACAGGATCATATTCTATATGTAATTTTTCGGCAAGTTTAGCCCTGTGGTGATAGCAGGTTAAGATCTCTTTCAGGGCACAGTTAGACGCTCGCAGATCATTTATGTGATGATTTAGCTGGGGATTTGAATCCTTGAGCTTATACTCTCTTTTACTACTCTTTCTCTGGCAATATTAGAGGTAACCTGCCAAATTCATTATATGCTTTACTTTTCAAAAAATATTAAAAAGTATATATATAGTGTATTAGGGTTCTCTAGAGGGACAGAACTAATAGGAGATATATATATGTGTGTATATATACACATATATATATGGGATATATATATGTGTGTATATATACACACATATATATCCCATATATATGTGTGTTTGTGTGTGTATATATATATATATATATATATATATAAAACTCCCATATATATGTATGTATATACATGGGATTTTATTAAGTAGTATTAATTCACATAGTCACAAGGTCCCAAAATAGGCCATCTGCAAGCTGAGAAGCTAAGGAAGCCAGTCTGAGGACCCAAATGGATTCACAGACAAATTCTACCAGCCATACGAGGAGGAGCTAGTACCAATTCTCCTGAAAGTATACTAAGCTAGCTAGCATCACCCTGATACCAAAACCCAGCACAGACACAACAAAAAAAGAAAAAAATTACAGGCCAATGCCTCCAATGTACACAAATGCAAGAAAATTATTGACCAAAACCTTAATTCACCCTAATCAAGTAGGCCTCATTCCTGGGATGCAAGGTTGGTTCAACACATGCAAATCAATAAATGTGACTCATCACATAAAGATTATTAAAGACAAAAATTATAAGATCATCTTAATACATGCAGAAAATTTTTTCAATAAGAATCATAATCCCTTCATGATAAAAATGCTTAAGAAACCAGACATTGAAGGAGCATAACTCAAATTAATAAAAGCCATCTATGACAAATCCAAAGTGAACATTATACTGAAGGGGGTGAAACTGGAATCATTCCCTTTGAGAACTAGAACAAAACAAGGGTACTGCTCTCACCACTTCCATGCAACATATTACTGGAAGTGCTAGCCAGAGCAATAAGGCAAGAGAAAGAAATAAAAGGCATCCAAATGGGAAAAGAAGAAGTCAAACTATCTCTCTTTGCAGACAATATTATTGTATACTTCAAAAACCTTGCAGACTCCACTAAAAGGCTCCTGGATAACAACTTCAATAAAGTTTCAAGATACAAAATCAATATACAAAAATCAGTAGCATTTCTATATGCCAATAACATTCAAACTGAGAGCCAAATAAAGAATGCAATCCCATGTACAGTAGCCACAAAACAAATACCTAGGAATACAACTAATCAAAGAGGTAAAAGATATCTACAAGGAGCACTACAAAACACTGATAAATCAGAGATGACACAGAAAAATGGAAAAATATTCCACGCATATGGATTGGAAGAATCAATATCTTTAAAATGGCCATACTGCCTAAAGCCAAAATCACCATACTGCCCAAAGTACAGAGGCATTGCTATTGCTTTCAAAGTGCCAACATCATTTTTTACAGAACTAATTAAAAAAAGCTATAAAATTCATTTGGAATCAAAAAAGTGCTGAAATAGACAAACCAAACCTAAGCAATAAGAACAAAGCCAGAGGCATCAAATTACCCAACTTCAAAGTATACTGTAAGGCTACAGTAACAAAAACAGCATGGCAGTGGTCCAAAAACAGACACATAGACCAGTGGAATAGAATAGAGAAGCCAGAAATAAGTCTGCACACCTACAGCCACCTGATCTTCAACAATGTTGACAAAAATAGGTAACGTGGAAAGGGTTCCCTATTCAATAAATGCTCTGATAGCTGTCTAGCCATATGTAGAATACAACTGGAAACCTGCATTTCACCATATACAAAAATTAACTCAAGATGGATTAAAGATTGAAATGTAAGACCTTGAGCTGTAAGAATCCTAGAAGAAAACCTAGGAAACACCATTATGGCTATCAGCCTTGGGAAATAATTTATGAAAAAGTCCTCGAAGCACTGCAATAAAAACAAAAATTGACCAGTGGGACCTAATTAAAGAGTGTCTGCACAACAAAATTAACTATCAACAGAGTACACAGACAACATACAGAATGGGAGAAAATGTTTAAAACTACACATCCAAAAAAGGTCTAATATCCAGAATCTATTAGGAATTTAACTACTGAACAAGAAATAAGGAGCCCCATTAAAAATAGGCAAAAAAACATGGACATTTCTCAAAGAAGACATTCAAACAGCCAAAAAGCAGAAAAAATTCCCTCACATCACTAATCAGAGAAACGCAAATCAAAACCACATTGAAATACTATCTCATACCAGTCAGAATGGCAATCATGAAAAAATTTAAAAACAATAATTGTTGGTGAGGCTGTAGAGAAAAGGGAAGGCTTATAATACTGTTGGTGGAAAGCAGTTTGGAGATTTCTCAAAGAACTTAGAACTATAATTCAACCCAGCAATCCCATTACTGGGTATACATCCAATACTAAATAAATTGTTCTACCCGACCAAAAAGACACATGCACTCACCTGTTTAGCACAGAACTATCCACAATAGCAAAGACATGAAATCAACCTAGATGCCCATCAATGGTGGACTAGATAAAGAAAATGTTGTACATATACACCATTGAATACAACATCACCATAAAAAAGAATGAAATCATGTCCTTTGCAGCAACATGGTGCAGGTGGAGACCATCGTCCTATGTGAATTAACGCAGGAACAGAAAAACAAATACCACATATTCTCACCCATAAATAGAAGCTAAACATTGAGTACTCATGGACCAAAGATGACAACAATAGAAACTGGAGACTACTAGAGGAAGGAAGGAAAGGGCAAGTGTTGAAAAACTAACCATTGGATACTGTACTCAGTACCTGGTGATGGGATCATTCATACCTCACCTCAAACCTCAGTGTCACACAATATACCCAAATAACAAACCTGACACATTCATTCTGAATCTAAAATAAAGTTGAAAAAAAGAAAAATTCCATTTTATAGACATATTAAATATGTTTATTCATCTGTTCATGGACATTTGAGTTGTTTCTACTTTTTCACTATTGTTAATAGTGGTCTTATAAATCTCCATGTACTAACGTTTGTTTTAATGCCTGCTTTCAGTTCTCTTGGACATATTTCTAGAAGAGAAATTTTGAACTTACGTGTTAATTCTATGTTTAACTTATTAAGAAACCACCAGGTTCAGGCCGGGTGGCTCACACCTGTAATCCCAGCATTTTGGGATACCGAAGAAGGCAAATTGCATGAGCCCAGGGGTTCAAGACCAGCCTGGGCAACATAATGAAACATCCTCTCTACTAACAATATAATATAAAAATTGACCACGCGTGGCGGCATGTGCCTGTAGTTCCAGCTACTCCAGAGGCTGAGGTAGGAGGATGACCTGAGCCTAGGAAGTCAAAGCTGCAGTGAGCTATTTTTTTGCCATTCCACTCCAGCCTGGATGACAGGAGTGAGACTCTTTCTAAAAAAAAGAAAGAAAAGAAAAAAAAGCCACCAAACTGTTTTTAAAGTGGCTGCACCATTATTTTGCTTTCCTACCAGCAAGATATGAATGTCCCAATTTCCACATGTCCTCGCCAATATTTGATATTTTCCAATTTAAAAAAATTTAGCCATCCTAATAACTGTAAAGTGGTGTAATAGTGTGTTATTAATTTGCATTTTCCTGCTGACTAATGGCATTGAGCATATTTTCATATGCTTTTTGGTCATTTGTATAATGTGTCTCCTTTTGATAAATGTCTATTCACATCATTTGCCTATTTTTTAATTGGGTTATCCCTCTCTGTTGTTGATTTGTAAGAGTTGTTTTTATATATTCTGGATACCAGACCCTGAACAGACATAAAATATGCATATATTGTCTCTCATCTTATGGGTTGCTATTTTCTCTTTCCTGATAATGTCCTCCAATAGTGTTTACAAGTTTTTTTTTAAATTTTGATCTTCAATTTGTCTAATTTTCTTTAGTTGCCTTTAATGTTTGGTGTCATATTTAAGAATACATTGCCAAATCCAAGGTCATATCAATTTATTCCTATGTTTCCTTCTAAGAGTTTTGTAGGTTTATCTCTGAAATTTAGGTATTTAATTCATTTTTAGTTAATTTTTGTATATGGGGTAAGGTAGAGATCCAAATTTATTCTTTTGCATGTGGACAACTTGGATCAAGTTTTCCAAGCAGCATTTATTGAAGGGCTATTATTTCCCCCTATTTAATGTCCTTGGCACCATTGCCAAAAACCAATTTACCATAAATGTATAGTTCTATTTCTTGATTCTCAATTGTGTTCCATTTTTCTGTATGAATATCCTTATGCAGTAGTATACTGCTTAGATTATTATCGCTTTGTATCAGGTTTTGAAATCTGGAAAAGTGAGTCCTCCAAATTTGTTTTATTTTTCAAGATTATTTTTGCTATTTGGGGTCCCCTGAATATTTAATATGAATATTAGGCCTTGCTTTTACTTTCTGCAAAAAAAAAAAGGTTATTCTAATCTTGGTAGAGGTTGCATTGAATCTGTAGATAACTTTGAGTGTTATTGACATCTTAACATTAAATCTTTCTGTTCCTGAACATGAGCTATCACTCTATTTATGTAAGAATTGTCATAAAATTTTTAGTGTATGATTATTACTCTCTTTGGATAAATGTTTTTGTCTGCATTTTATGCTTTACTTTTACTTTTTTTTTTTTTTTTTTTTTTTGAGATGGAGTCTTGCTCTATCGCCCAGGCTGGAGTGCAGTGGCGTGATCTCGGCTCACTGCAAGCTCTGCCTCCCGGGTCCACGCCATTCTCCTGCCTCAGCCTCCCGAGTAGCTGGGACTACGGCGCCCGCCACCACGCCCGGCTAATTTTTTGTATTTTTTAGTAGAGACGGGGTTTCACCATGTTAGCCAGGATGGTCTCCATCTCCTGACCTCGTGATCCGCCCGTCTCGGCCTCTCAAAGTGCTGGGATGCTTCACTTTTTAAGGCAATTAAATGAATTTTTTTTTCTTAATTTTCTTTCAGATTGGTCATTGCTTGTGTGTAAAACTAACAACTGATTTTTGAGTGTTTATCTCGTATCCTGTGGCTGAATTCATTTATTAGCTCCTATATTTTTTTCTATGTCTTTTAGGATTCTCTACATACATGATCATGTCATCTGCAAATAAATTTTTTTATTATCCTTTCTAATTTGATGACTTATTTTTTTATCTTGCCTAATTGCTATGATTAGGATTTCCAGTACAATGTTAAACAGATGTGGCAGAAACAGACATCTTTGTATTGTTTCTCACCTTACAATGAAAGCTTGTATAATTTTACCATTGAGTGTATGTTTGTTGTGGGCTTTTAAATAAATTCTATTTATTATTTTCAGTAAGTTCTCTCTATTTTCAGTGTTTTTAATTATAAAATGGTGTTAGATTTTTTTCCCAAATGTTTTCTGCACCAGTTGAGACAATTTTGTAGTTGTGGGTTTTAATTCATTCTATTAGTTCAGTATATTACATTAATATACTTAAATTTGATTAATTTCTTAATCAATAAACCATTTTTTTTTTTTTTTTTTTTTTGAGATGCTGTCTCGCTATGTCTCCCAGGCTGGAGTGCAGTGGCGCGATCTCGGCTCACTGCAAGCTCCGCCTCCCTGGTTCACGCCATTCTCCTGCCTCAGCCTCCCAAGTACCTGAGACTACATGAACCCGCCACACCCAGCTAATTTTTTGTGTTTTTAGTAGACACCGGGTTTCACTGTGTTAGCCAGGATGGTCTCAATCTCCTGACCTTGTGATCCGCCCGCCTCGGCCTCCCAAAGTGCTGGGATTACAGGCGTGAGCTACCGTGCCCGGCCATCAGTAAACCATTTTTAAAAAACAGTTTTAGGTTCACAGCAAACTTGAGTGGGAAGTACTTAGAGGTCCCTTATACACCCCATCCCCAACACAGCCAACTTCCTCCACTGTTAACATAAGACACTACATTAGTTACAAATCAATGAACCTACATTGTCATGTCACTATTACCCTTCCATATTTTACATTTGGATTCACTCTTGGTGCTGTATATTCTGTGGGTATGGACAAATATAAAATGGTGTGTGTCTGCCATTTTAGTACCTACAGAGTAATTTCACTGCTCCAAAAATTCTCTATCTATTAATTTCTCCCTCCCACTGGTACCTGGCAGCCACTGATCCGTTTAGTGTCCCATAGTCTTGCCTTTTCCAAAATGTCATGTAGTTGCAGTTATACAGTGTGTAGCTTTCTTAGATTGGCTTTTTCACTTAGTAATATGTACCTAAGTTTCCTTCATGTCTTTTCATGACTTGGTAACTCATTTCTTTTTACTGATGAATAATATTTCATGGTCTGGATGTACCAGGTTATTTATCTCTTCGCCTACTGAGGGTCATGTTGGTTGCTTCCAAGTTATGGCATTAATGAAAAAAGTTGCTATAAACTGCCAGATGGAGGTTTTTGTGTGGAAATAAGTTTTCAAGTCATTTGGGTAAATACAAAGGATCGTGATTGTGGCATCATATAATGAGTGCATGTTTGTAAGAAATGGCCAGTCTCCCTAAGTGGCTATACCAGTTTGTACTCCCACAATGAATGATAGTTCCCCTTGTTCCACATCCTCTCCAGCATTTGATGTTGTCAGAGTTCTAGATTTGGGCTATTCTAATACATACAGAGTGGTATTTTATGATTATCTTAATTTGCATTTTTCTAATGATACCTATTGTTGAACATCTTTTCACCTGCTTACCTGCCACTGACATCTTCCTTGGTGAGGTATCCGTTAGTGTCTTTGTTTGTTTTTTAATTAGGTTGTTCATTTTCTTGTTGTGTTTTAAGCGATTTTGTTATATTTTGGGTAACAATGTTTTATCAGGTGTGTCTTTTACAAATACTTTTGCCCAGCCTGTGGCTTTTCTTATCCTCTTGTCATTGCCTTTTGCACAGCAGATGTTTTTAATTTAAATGAAGTATACCTAAGCAATTATTTATTTTTATCAATCATGTCTTTGGTGCTATATCTAAAAAGTCATTGTAATACAAAATGTCCTCTAGGTTTTCTCTCAAATTATCTTCTAGCAGATTTATAGCTTTGTGTTTTATATTTATGTCTGATTCATTTTGAGTCAACTTTCATGAAGGGTGTAAGATCTGTAAAGGTGTGTGTATAGATGTTAATTTACTTTTCATATATATGTAAATACGTATGAAATAAAAATACATAAATTTGTATTGGAGTTTCAGTTATTCTAGCATCATGCACTGAAAAGTTTATCTTTGCTCTATTTTCTTGCTTTTGCTTCATTGTAGAAGATCAATGGACTATATTTATGTAGGTCTATTTATGGATTTTCCATTCTATTCTATTTATTTGTTTATCATTTTGGAACTACCACACTGTCTTGAGGACTGTAGATTTATAATAAATCTGTAAATCTGGTGGTGTCAGTCCTCCAACTCTGTTCATTTCCTTCAGTGTCGAGCAGGCTATTCTGAGTCTACTGCCTTTTCATATTATATAATCTTTAGAATAAGTTTTTAAATATATGCACAATAACTTGCTGGAATTTTGATTGACATTATATTAAATCTATAGATCAAGTTTTGAGGGACTCATGTATTGACAATAATGAATATATTTATTTATGAAGATGAAATATCTCTCCATTTATTTATTTGTTTGATATCTTTTTATCAGGGGTTTATAGTTTTCCTCAAATGTTTTTACTCATTTTGTCAGATTTATACCTAAGTATTTGTATTAGTCTGATCTTGCATTGCTATAAATAACTACCTGAGACTGGGTAATTTGTAAAGAAAAGAGCTTTAATTGGCTCACAGTTCTGCTGGCTGTATAGAGGGCATGGCTGAGGAGGCCTCTGGAAACTTAAATCATGGCAGAAGATAGAGGAGCAGTCGTATCTTTACTTAGCAGAGCAGTAGAGAGAGAGAGTGAATGGGGGAGTGCTATGCACTTGTAAACAACCAGATTTCATGAGGACTCACTTACTATCATGAAAACAGCAAGGGGGAAGTCCATTCCCATGATTCAGTCATCTCCCACCAGGCTCTTCTTCCCACACTGAGAATTACAATTCAACATGGGATTTGGGTGGGAATACAGAGACAAACCATATCATTCTGTTCCTGGCCCTCCCAAATCCCAGGTCCTTCTCAAATATCAAAACAAAATCATGCCTTCTCAACAGTATCCCAGATGCTTAACTCATTCCAACATTAACTCAAAAGTCCAAGTCCAAAATCTCATCTGAGACAAAGCAAGTCTCTTCCCCCAATAAGCCTGCAAAATAAAAAACAAATTCGTTACTTCCAAGATACAATAGGGGTACAAATATTTGGCAAATGCTCCCATTCCAAGAGGGAGAAATCAGCCAAAACAAAGGGGCTATAGGCCCCATGACTATTCTGAAACCCAGCAGGGTGGTAATTAAATCTTGAAGCTCCAGAATAATCTCCTTTGACTCCATGACTCATATCCAGGGCACACTGATGCAAGGGGATGTTTCCCAAGGCCTTGGGCAACTCTGCCTCTTTGGCTCTGTAGGGTCCAGCCCCTCTGGCTGCTTTTATGGACTGGCATGAGTGACTAGGGCTTTTCCAGGTGCACAGTGCAAGCTATCACTTGATCTCCATTCTGGGGTCTGGAGGACAATGGGCCTCTTTTCACAGCTCCCCTAGGCAGTGCCCCAGAGGAGACTGAGTGAGGTCTCCAGCCCCACATTTTCCCTCTGCACTGCCCTAGTGGAGGTTTTCATGAGGGCTACATCCCTGCAGCAAACTTCTGCATGTACATTGAGGAATTTTCATACATCCTCTGAAAGCTAGGTGGAGGCTCCCAAGCCTCAACTCTTATCCTCTGCACACCCTCAGGCTTATACTTGGAAGCCACCAAGGTTTCTTGTGGCTTGCATCCTCTGAAGCAGTGGCCTGAGACATATCTGGGGCCATTTTAGCCATGGCTGGTGTGCCTGGGATGCAGTAACCAGCGTCCTGACATTATGCAGGGGAGAAGGGCCCTGGGCCCAGTCCACAAAACCGTTCTTCCCTCCTAGGCATCTGGGCCTGTGATGAGAGGTTCTGCGGTGAATGTCTCTCTTTGATGAATTTTCCACATTGTTTGGATATTAACATTCAGCTCCTCTTTACTTATATGAATTTCTGCAACCAGCTTGAATTCCTCCCCAGAAAATTTTTTTTTTCATTTTTCTTTCTGACCACATGGTTAGGCCACAAATTTTTCAAACTTTTCACACTTTGCTTCCCTTTAAATATAAGTTCCAATTTCAGGTAATCTATTTTCTACATATGACCATACCCTGTTAGAAGTAGCCAGGTCAAATATTGAATGCTTTGCTGCTTAGAAATCTCTTTTTCCAGATACTCTAAATCAACACTTTCAAGTTCCAATTTCTGACAGATCCCTAGAGCAGGGGCACAATGCTGCCAGCCTCTTTGCTAAAGCATAGCAAGAGTGACCTTTACTCAAGGTCCCAATAAGCTTCTCATCTCCATCTGAGACCAAATTATTCTGGACTTCATTGTCCCTGTCACTATCAGCATTTTGGTCACAACAATTTATCAAGTCTCTAGGAAGTTTCCAACATTCTCTCGTCTTCCTGTCTCATTCTAAGCTCTCCAAACTGTGCCAAACTCTTTCCATTACCCAGTACTAAAAGTGCTTCCACATTTTCAGGTATCTTTATAGCAATACCCAATTCTTGGTACAAATTTTCTGTATTAGTCTATTCTTGCATTGCTGTAAAGAACTACCTGAGACTGGGTAATTTATAAACAAAAGAGTTTTAATTGGTTCACAGTTCCACAGGCTGTGGAAGCATGGCTAGGGAGGCCTCAGGAAACTTACAATCATGGCAGAAGGTGAAGAGGAAGCACGCACATCTTCACATGGCGAAGCAGGAGAGAGGGAGGGTGAAGGGGGAAGTGCTATATACTTTCAAACAACCAGGTCTTGTGAGAACTTACTCACTATCATGAGAAAAGCAAGGAGGAATTCAGCCCCCATGATTCAGTCACCTCCCACCAAGGCCTTCTCCAACACTGGGAATTACATCTCAACATGAGATTTGGGTGGGGACACAGAGCCACACTATATCAGTATTTCATTTCAGGGGCGTGCTAATTTCAATGGTAATATGTCTTTTATTTCAAATTTCATTTTTTCATTGCTGACATAAAGGAAAGTGATTGTTTTTTGTGTATTAACCCTGAATTATAAATTGAATGTTTATGTCTTCTCCCAAATTCCTATATTGAAGCCCTATTTCACAATGTCATGATACTTGAAGATGGGGCCTTTAGTAGGACTTCGAAATGAGGTCATGAGGGTGCATATACCATGATGGCATTACAGCCGTATGAAAAGGAAATGAGACACCAGAGCTTTCTCTCTATCTCTGCCATGTGAGGACACAGCAATAAAGTGGTGGTCTACAACTAGTCCTCTGTTTCATATTTTATAGTAGTAATTTTTGTCTTTCCTCATTTTTCTAAGCCTGGCTAGAACCTTATCAATTGTATTGATCTTTTCAAGAATCAGCTTTTAGGTTTGTTAATTTTTTTCTATTGAGTTTCTGTTGTAAATTTCAGTGATTTCTGCTCTATTTTTATTTTTTTCACCCTTTTGTTTATCTAACTGGTTCCCTTTTTCTAGTATTTAATGGTGGAATATTAGATTAATGATGGTAGATCTTTGTTTTTTATTAATGTATGGATTCATTACTATTAATTTCCTTCGAAGCACTGCCTTTATCACATTTATAATTTTTGATAATTTGTATTTTCATGTACTTCAAATATTTTTTCAAATTTCTTTTGAGATTTCTTTTTTTAATATTGTGTTATTTACAAATTTGTTTAATATCCAAATTTAAATCAATAATAAAAGTTGTGTTAAACACCTGGAAAAATTCGATCAATAAAGAGAGATGCAGGATAGTAAAAGTAGCTCTACAACCAAAGACAATGTTTATTTTCAACTGAATAGAGTAATATGCTAGTTATGCATGATTGTCCTAATTCTTGTCAAATTTCTGTCAAATAAATGTATTTTCTCTGTGTGTGTGTTTGTATGTGTGTTTATGAACACTGAAAATTTTAGATAAATTGTTGAATATTTTCTGTAATACCAGGTAAAGAACACTACATTACGATCGCATTCAAAAGTCATTTTAACATGTGAAAACATGATATATAAGTTCAATTTTATACTCATAAGTCTTTATTTGTATTACATTGCTAATCACCAAATGTATTAGTCCATTTTCATGATGCTGATAAAGACATAACTGAGACTGGGCAATTTACAAAAGAAAGAGGTTTAATTGAACTTACAGTTTTACATGGCTGGGGATGGCTCACAATCACAGTGGAAGGCAAGGAGGAACACGTTACATCTTAAGTGGATGGCGGTAGGCTAAGATAGCGCTTGTGCAGGGAAACTCCCCTTTTTCAAATCATCGAATCTCATGAGACTTATTAACAATCATGAGAACAGCACGGGACAGACCCGCCCCCATAATTCAATCATCTCCCAACAGGTTCCTCACATAACACATGGGAATTCAAGATGAGATTTGAGTGGGGACACAGAGTCAAACCATATTATTCCACCCCCGGCCCTTCCCAAGTCTCAAGTCCTCACATTTCAAAACCAATTTTGTCTTCCCAATGGTCCTGCAAGTCTTAACTCATTTCAGCATTAACTTAAAAGTCCACAGTCCAATGTCTCATCTGAGAAAAGGCAAGCCTCTTAAGCCTATGAGCCTATAAAATCAAAAGCAAGTTAGTTGCTTCCTAGATACAATGGCAATACAGGTATTGGGTAAATACAGCTATTCTAAATGGGAGAAATTGGCCAAAACAAAGGGGCTACAGGCCCCATGCAAGTCCGAAATCCAGCAGGGCAGTCAAATCTTTAAGCTCCAAAATGATCTCCTTAGACTGCATGTCTCCCATCCAAGTTATGCTGATGCAAGAGGTGGGTTCCCATGGTCTTCGGCAGCTCTGCCCCTGGGGCTTTTCAGGAGACAGCCTCCCTCCCAGCTGCTTTCACAGGCTGATGTTGAGTGTGTGTGGCTTTTCCAGGAATATGGTGCAAACCATTGGCGGATCTAACATTCTGGGGTTTGGAAGAGGGTGGCCCTCTTCCCACAGCTCCACTAGGCCGTGCCCCAGTAGGGACTCTGTGTAGGGTCTCCAACTCCACATTTCCCTTCTACACTTCTCTAGCAGAGGTTCTCCATGAAACCCCTGCCCCTGCAGCAAACTTCTGCCTGCCCATCCAGGCATTTCCGTACATCTTCTGAAATCTAGGTGGAGGTTCCCAATCCTCAATTCTTGACTTCTGTGCACTTGCAAGGTCAACACCATGTGAAAGCTGCAAAGCCTTGAGTGTTGCACCCTCTGAAGCCACAGCCCAAGCTCTACATTGGCCCCTTTTAGCCATGGCTGGAGTGGCAGGGATGCAGGGCACCAAGTCTCTAGGCTGCACACACAGCACAGGGACCCTGGCCCTGGCCCATAAAAGCACTTTTTCTTCCTAAGCCTCCAGGCCTGTGATGGGAAGGGCTACTGTGAAGACCTCTGACATGCCCTGGAGACAATTCTCCATTTTCTTGGGGACTAACATTCAGCTCCTTGTTATTTATGCAAACTTCTGCAGCTGGCTTGAATTTCTCCTCAGAAAAATGTGATTTTCTTTTCTATCGCATTGTCAGGCTGCAAATTTTCCAAACATCCATGCTCTGCTTCCGTTATAAAACTGAATGCTTTTAGCAGCACCCCAGTCACCTCTTGAATGCTTTGCTGCTTAAAATTTTTTTTCTTCCAGATACCCTAAATCATCTCTCTCAAGTTGAAAGTTCCACAAATCTCTAGGGCAGAGGAAAAATGCTGCCAATCCCTTTGCGAAAGCATAACAAGAGTCACCTTTGCTCATCTTTTCAGCAATGCTTCACTCTACTGGTACCGATTTACAGTATTAGTTTGTTTTCACACTGTTGATAAAGACATAACTGAGAGTGGGGAATTTACAAAAGAAAGAGGTTTAATCAGACTTACATACATGGCAGGGGAAGCCTCACAATCATGGCAGAAGGCAAGGAGGAGCAAGTCCCATCTTACGTGGAAGGCAGCAGGCAAAGAGAGAGCTTGTGCAGGAAAGCTTGCCTTTTTAAAACCGTCAGGTCTCATGGGACTTATTTACCATCACAAGAACAGCATGGGAAAGACCCACCCCCATGATTTTAACATCTCTCACTGAGTTCCTGCCACAACATGTGGTAACTCAAGGTGGGATTTGGGTGAGGACACAGACCCATACCATGTCACCAGGCTATTATGATTATTATTCTCTTTGGTTTATTTTTTCATTAAGACTGAGAAAAAATATTTTCTATTTTCAATAATTAGGATAAAACTGCATAATCTGACATTTCTATTTCATATTGTAAATAGGATATAGTTTATTGCAATTTCTAAAATGGGCTTTTTACTAATAAATACTCTTTTTATTGCCAAGTGTTTGTTTTGTTGTTGTTTTTGTTTTTCAACAAAGACAACAAATGCATCATCTCTGTAGGTTAGCTTACAAAGAAAAATAAAAATCTACTACAATAAGGTAGGGAAACTTGCCATCAAGGCACTCTGTGGGAGGTCTATCAACATAGTGGAGGAGTCATAGCAACCAATGACGTTCATGAGACTGTATGTACAGACAAATATATGGGAACTGTGACAATCAGAAATTAGAAAAAAAGAGAAAAAGGGAAGTCACTTATGATTGTGCAGGTTGAGGTAACAAAGATGGTATATGATTCTTGGCATATGGTAGATTATGCTTTATATTTTGCAGGCTATGTCTTCTTTAATACAGCAATATAGTCTATAAAGTGAGAGATGAAGTATGATTTGACTTTACAGATAGAGTTTCAGAGAGGTTGATTAATTTGAGCCAGGTCACATAATTAATGAACTGAAAAGTTAAAATTCAAACTTTTGTCTGTATGTGTATGATTTCCAAGCTATTTCTATTTCTAGGATGCTGTTAAATGATTTGAATGTGTTAAAAAATACCTATTGATTGAATAGTCTATGAAAATTTGGAGGAGGAGGAAGGATAGCTATGAGAACTGCAATACTATCTGGTGCCACAGCTGTGAAAGCCCTAGAGCTAGGCCTTTAAAATTGTGTTTGACATAAGTGTGTTGACTACTACCAGCTGGAAGCTCTGGAATAAAAGGAGTACAAACAATAGCTATCAAATTGAATCAGGGCAAAGAAAATTAGCAGAACTAATGACTATATAGATTTAGTTATTGCGGTAGTCTATTGTTACAAATACATAAACCATCCACTTGCATCAGTTTTCTGAAGCCTCAATTTCTATTGCTGTACTTTCTAAAAAAAAAAAAAATCTGTTCTGTTAAACTGAAAGATCCACTTGCTAAAAACAAAATAAAACAAAAGTAGAAGGAAATATACCAAAGTGTTAAAACTGATTTGGTATTTTAAAAAACTTTATAATTATTTTCTCCGACTCCCCTCACAATATTTAATGACTGTAATTTAAATATATAATATAAAAATAAAGTTGACTTGAAATAACCTTTTCAAATGTATGAACATATTGAGGCATGTAAAGAAAAGACAATATGAGAAAAATTCAGCAAGAAGCATCTGTGAAAAACTTAACTGCATTTAAAATTTTTCAAAAGTGATGGAATGGTTTCAACAGAATGAAGAAAAGAAGAAATACAACCAATGTTTTATGATCTAACAAAGTGGTCGAAAGCAAAAATGTGGACATATGTGACTTCAAAGATGTGAGGAAGGTTGTTTATTCACTCATTCAGCAAACACTTTGAAAACCTAGAGTCTGAACAATAGTTTCTACAGTAATTATAATGACAAGAAATTAAGGTTTTCCTATAAGCGTTTCTACAAGTATGTTCATTTATTTAGTAAGTAATGGAGAGGTACTGCTGCTACTTGGAGAAAAAATGGTAGAAGAAAAGCTGGGAGAGGAGGAGACAGAGGAGGGCAATGGGGACGAGGAGAAGGAGGAGGAACAGAGGAAACTCTGAAGTTAGGGCCTAGAAATATATATTTTAATCAGGCCTCCAAATGATTCTGATGTATGATAAAATTTGAGAACCACTGATTGAACTTAAAGGAAAAACCAAACAAATATGTTGGTGAATTCAGGTGACTGACCCAGCTTTGACAAGAAAGTATTCTAGTAATGATTGGCTGAGGGAAAATAAAACTGGGAAATAATATAACTTACATAATTCAGCTTATTTTTTGTATAAAAACAATTTTTTCTTTTTAAAAATTAAACAGTATATGAGATAATTTCAATATACATTTATTAATAAAAAAACTATAATTATGATTAATGATCAGAGAAAAATTTATAAAATATGAATGAAAAACATTTTTTAATTTCATGTTGTGTGCCAGATATTTACATCATGCATTATCTCTACTTACCTACTCAACCTTCTAATTTATGGATGAGGACAACCACATTTGAACACCCAAGCCTATGGTGGCTTTGTATAAATAAAATATTATTTGATAAGAATGTTTTATGATTGTCTAATAGTTTACCACTGGAAATGAAATCTTTTATAATGCCTTTCCAAATATAGTAATGTAATAGGAAGAAAGGTGTTATCAATATTAAAATGAAACCTATTATAGAACTCTTTGAAATTACTCAAATTTGGATGTTAGTATTTGATCATTAGCTCCAGTTTTCTATAGAAGGTTGATGCAGATCATTTCATTTATTGCTTAATAATGAATTCCCAACATTTTTCACATTTGATTGTTTTAGACTCCACTTATAATATTTTGGGGGGATTTTTCTATATTTAAAACTTCCTCAGAAGCAAGTTACAGAAACCCAAGGCAAATTAATTTAAGAGAAAGCAGAATCTATTCAAACTCCATGAACAAACTGAGACTAATCAGTCAGGCAGAAAGGCTGTGTTGTAAGTTCTGTTCTCCCAGAAGCAAAGCCTGAGCCAGGGATTCAGGTGCACATAATGTATGAAAGAAAACACTTCCAGGAGAAATAAATTAGAAAGTGAAGAAAGGAAGAAGCTCATCAAAAGTTTGATTTCAGGTGAGGCCCCACAGTCAGGCTAGTCCTTCAGGAAGCTCTGGGGTGTAAATTATACCTGAATTTCTTTTTTAAATATCGAAAAGAGTGAGCATTTGTATCTATACATCATTTAAGCATAGAGGTCATCTGTTTTAATGAAGTTTTCTTAGAGCTGTCCAAATATCTGGGAGTCTCCAGAGGCCAAAGACAACCGTCTGAAGAAGGTTGCAGGTACCTGTGTGGGCAATTAGCAGGAAAGTGCAATAAGCTGTGGGATGAGTACTCCGAACTGGTGAAAAAAAAAAAAAAAGATTCACGAGGAACTGGAGGAGAACAGCGTCTGCTAAAGAGAAGTTTGTAGGTAAGCCTTAGAAACGAGCAGAACTTGATGATTGAATATTTTGAGTATGTACTTGTATTTCCCATTTCCACTGTATGTGCTGGATTCCTTATTATCTGCCAGTAGAAGATAATTTGCTAAAACATGGAAAACATTACTTCTGTGTCATATATATTGCAGGTGCATCCAATGGAAAGACAGATTTTCTTAAGCCCAAGACAAGAAATCCAAGAGAAGAACTTATTTTTCATACTTTTCAAGTGCCATCTTTGACTCAACTTCTTTAACTGGAGGTAAGGGGTAGGGGAGGTTTGTAAGGATATACCAACTCCCTCGAGGGTGGCTAGAGTATGAGAAGGCTATAGTATAGTTTCCAGGCAAAAAAGATTGGTGCTGGTCCCATGGTTCTAAACTAAACCACCAAGTTACCCTACATAGAGTTGATAGGCTGAAAGGGACCTGCCCCTTCATAGGTCCTCTTTGATACCTAAATTAAGAGAAAACATACTTAAAAATAATAACGATTTTAATTTTAGAAATAATAACATAGCAAGGGTAAATAGAAAAAAACTTAACTCAAAAATCTGAATCTTTGTATACTGTAGGAAAAGAAAGATAATTAAAAGTATTATTATTTTATAACAATACACATGTGTATATGCATACCCTGCAGATATTCATATTTTCCATGTTTTTCGTTATTTAGTTTGAAATAGTCTACTTTCTGGCACATAAAAAGAGCTTGTTAAATAATTGTGTATGCCTGTTTACATGCTTAATTATGAAGACACATTTTTTTAAAGGCTCATTTTTGGTTCATTTTCTTTGTGGAAAGTATTGGCTCAAATTGCTTTTATTCTAAGAAAGTGATGGAATGTGATTTCCACTCCAGTGAAAACAATGACTGTCTTGAAAAGACATGTATATTTTTGTAATCGAAAGAATACTGTCCTTTTGTGTGACGACATAAATTCCCCTTGTAAACTTTTAATATTTGTAAAAGTCGGAGGAGAAAACCCTTATTTGAATCTAAAACTGTTTAATTTGTACCAGTCTAAGCAAAATCTGTCACTTAAACCATGCCAAGACAGTGATTGACAATTTAAATTGCTTTTCATAAATCAATTGCAAAATAGAAGTAAAATCAGAAATATACTTTGGAAAATGAAGAATGTTTTCATTATAATGATCTACCCTGTGGCATTTCAAAAAGAAAACCAAGCATCTCAGCACTTTAATATGAGGCACTACAAATAATAAATGGCAGACAGTAGCTAGTAGATGCTGTTCAATATGAACATTATATGCAATGAATTAATAATTTATCACTTATATTTATAATGAATTAAACAGAAGAAAGCAATTCTGTATGGATAAAGTCTATCTGAAAGTGTGGTTTTGTCTGTTTCAGAAGTTTGCACAAGTCACCAAGCATTTTTATGACCATGCTTATTATAATTTGATACATGCAGCAAGTTTTTTCTTGAAATGCTGTAATTATTTTTATCTACAAGATGTTATTTTAAATATTTATTATTAGAAGTAGCCTCAGCACTATAAACATGATCTTTAATGCAACTAAAGTTCAGAATAAACAATGACTTGAATCTGTAGATTTCTGTGAAAAGATCCAATTGACAACGAATAAGCTCTCTTTTAAATAATCTTTATTTTTAGAACAGTTTTAGATTAACAGAACTTTGCAATGGTAGCATAAAGACCCCCTGTATATCCTGTACCCTGGCTTCACTAATTAACATCTTAAATTTGTATGGGATGTTTGTTATAGTTAATGAATCTATATTGACACATTAACTAAAGGCCACGCTTTACTCAGATTTCCTTCGTTTTTGCCTAGTGTTCTTTTTCTGTTCTAGGATCCCTTTCAGAACACCATATTACATTTACTCATCACATCTCAAGTTCTTCTTGGCTGTGACAGTTTACTAGACTTTCTTTGGTTTTGATCACCTTGACAGTTTTGAAAAGTATTTACTGGTCAGTTACTTTGTAGGATATCTTTTAATTGGAATTTATCTCATGTTTTTCTCATGATTAGATGGGTATTATGTGTTTCGACAAGGATGACCACATTGTTAAATTTCCGTTTTCTTTTTTGATGTGTGTGTGCCCCTAAATCGCCATTTTTATCACATCTTATCACTGTCAATATTACTTATCAAGTTGATATTGACCTGGATATGAGGTAGTGTTTTTCAGGTTTCTTCAAATTAAAGCTATTCTTTTCTTATATTTCCATACTATACCTTTCTGAAGGAAGTCACTATGTCCAGACCACAATTAAGGAGTAGGGAGTTATGTACTCCCTTATCTTGAAGGTAGAATATTAACATACATCATTTGAAATTCTTCTGCACCGCAGATTTGTCTCTTCTTCCCCATTTTTTTTCATTCATTCAATCATTTGTTTATATCAGTATGGACTTATGGATATTTACTTTATCCCTTGAGTTATAATTCAACACTACATTATTTATTTTGTTGCTTAAATTGTTCCACTTTGGGCCATTGAGAGCTCTTTCATTTGGCTCCTGTGTCCATTAGACATCATCCTTTTATTGCCTTTTTATTTTTTCCTAGTGCCTCCTTGCCTTCTAGTACAATGAACTATTCCAATATCATGTTCCGTATTTTCTATCTAATGAATAGCTTTTAATCTTGCTTTTAATGAAAAAAGCTAATCTAAAAACATATTCCTACTTAAAATACTTTTTTTCCTTTTTGAATCAATTCTTTGGATTAAGACGTAATGAAAGAAATTAGTAATTGAATAAAATTGAACAGTGTACATTTAAATAGATGTTTTATGAAAATTATAGATGTAGGCCATGAAATCAACTACTACATCTTCAAGAGAAAATAAACAAACTGGAAATCTTGCAATTAAGCATTCGTCTTTAAACTAGTTACTCCCTCTATAAAAGTGATTTATAGAATGGTCCATAAGTAATACCAATCACAGGGTATCACTTCTGAAATATCTGAGCATTCCTTTGAATTTCTTTCTTCACCACTGAAATCTTCATTAGCCATGTGTTTGAGTGTCTGGAACTCCTGACCTAGGGAACTAGAGACTTAACCTTCACTTTTACTCACCTCAGCTGCTAAAGGCTTCTTTCAAAACTACTTTTGAAGTTGCCCAATTTGTCTCTACCTCTTCCTTGAGGTGCCAGAGAGCAATAATAATAATAATAATAATAATAAACAATAACTTAATTCCCTACATTCTATATGATAAGCCTATGTTAAATAGTTTATATACATTGTCTGATTTAACCCTCCCAACAACAGCATGAGATAAAAGTATTTTAGAATCGTAGCTAAAGTAATATTCTTACAGGCACAGGATTGGAAGTGGTGGAACAATCCTATTCTCTTAATAATTAAATTATATTGGCTGTCATGAATCTCAAGATCAGGGATCTTGATTGGTTTTGAGGTGGTTTCAAGGACTGACTTGTGGGGAAAAGCATAATGATATTACCTTGGAGTATTAGTAACTATATTTTGGGGTAAGGGGTTTTGTTAATTATTTTTGTTAGTCTGTTTGCTTTCTATTAGCATAAGACTAACACAGGCAAAGACATAATATTATTTCTAATAAGCTTGAGTCCAAATAATCAAATTTCTGTTTTATGAGACAGAGGCCCCTTTAGTGATAGTAAAACAGTTGATACACAGGTGTTGACTCCCAGAAAGCTGGATTCAAATTCTGAAGCTGCTTCTTGCTGGTTCTGGAATCTGGAACATAATACTTGAATTTCCTCAGCCTCTGTTCCCCATCTGAAAAATTAGGAAGATTATACCAAAGTCAAAAAATATAGCAATAATTAAATGAGATTTATATATCCAAATCTGAATGTCTCTCCTGATTTATTTAACTATAGTCAAAGTATCTACTAAAGAACCTCACGAAAGACAGGGGCAGAAAATTTCAGATTAACGTGAGTCTGGTTTCTTTTGTCTTATTGTTCATTTCTCTGCTATCCATAGTAATAGAGCTTCTAAATGCAATCTTTTTCCTTACCTTCTAATAAATTGTTACAAAGATTTCCTAAGTTTCTTCAAATAATATTCTTTCCTTACATATAGTAATATTTTTCATTCCTGGGGGCTATAGATTTAGGTATTTTTCTCAGTCTTATCCTGGCTTCCTATTCAAATACCTATTACTTCTCAGTATCTTAATAGTAGTGGGTTGATCTTCTAAGTTAACACTTAAGGGACTCTTGTCAAGGATATGAGCTGGCGCACCCTCACATCAGGTTTAGTTTTTGGTTGTTCATGTTTTCCTCAGAGGGCTTAACAGGTTTCTCCACTGGGAGAAAGGATACTTTCCAGGTGATGGGGCCAGGAACTGAGAAGAAATGACCGACGTGCATGCCTAGTTTTCCTTTTCTTACATTGAAGCATTTCTCTTTCTGTCTAGAATTAATTTCCTCACCTGTGCTTCAGATCACGACTCCCACCATTTCTCTCATGTATCTCCCATGTCTTCTATTATCACCTTCACATTATCATTTAAACATGTTTTTCCATTAATTAAAAAGAAAAAATGTCTTTTTATCTTTCATCTTATACTTGCTACTGTTCTTTCTCTCTTACACCTTTTCCTACCGATATTTCTTAAAACACATGTTTGCTCAGGCTGTAAACGATTCCTCATATACTTATCTCTCCTTAATCCTCTGCAGTCAGACTTGCTTATCGGTGTCCGTCCTGTCAAAAAAAATCTAAGAAAGAAATTTAATCCTCATTTTTATTTTTGATTTGCCCATATTTAACACTGTTGGCCATGTGTCTTCCCAGAAAAAAATTTATTGCCTTGGTTCTTGTAATTACATGTCTTTCTGGTTCTACTTTTACCTTTCTTGAGGTTCTCAGATTATTTTGTGGACTGATCAGCCTCTCTCTACCACTTAATGAGAGTTTCCCCTTAAGAACCACAGGGCTTTTACAAATTGAAGAGAACAATCAGTGCTATAAACCATAACTAACCCTACGTCATTTTTGAGAAGAATTACTATTTGATGTGAAGGAACACTGTAAATCACAACGTAAAGTAAAATATCTCCCCTATTTTGGCCATGAGATCTTATCTTCTCCTAAAACACCTGAATTTATTTCTTGTAGTAAAACCAGAATTACTGTCACTAGGATTTTATTTTATTTTAGTTCCAATATATAAGCTTTGAAATTAAAATTAAACTATAAAATATAATTTTATAGACGGCATAGGGATAACATGTTTCTCACATTAACATTTCAGTCCATTTTTCTTTTCTCTCGTTTTCTCTCACTACTAAATTATATAGTAGGCAGATTGTGTTTGAGCTGTCAGAGGAGAAGTCAGGGAAGTTTTAATTTAGGAGGTTCCAAAGCATGAGATATAGTCCAAGGAAGCCAGCTTAGGTGGAATACAGAAAGAAGATAAATGGGAGGATAGAAAAGAGGGTTAGGAGGAATAAATTATAGAATATCAAAACTCTAGAGAGGTTTTATAAAGATTAGAAAAGGAATATCAATTGGAGAAGTAATAAAAGTGTGTATTGTCATATTAAAATGTGATTGGCTATTTTATCCAAAAATATATTCAGATTAAAAAATAAATATTAACTAGACATATAGTGTTCTTTTTAAGTATAATTATTCCAGTTACAAAACTTGTCCACTATGATTCATACATTACTCCAAGTTTAGCTTACATTCCAAATGTAATTTTTAAGCAAGTTTCTCAAAAAGATATTTATTCTTATATGAAATAGTGTAGTGTTTTCCCCCAAAATGCAAGAGCCAGTCCAGAAAATATTCTTTATTTTCCATAATTTCTTACCATCTATTGAACCCTGTATACTTTCATTAGATAAGATTAAATTATAAATGCCTGTCCCATGATTTTTGGTAGCTATGGGATTTGAAATCCTGTTATGTTTTCACATGTTTTGGTCTCTTTTTTTTTTTTGATCAGCTTTATCTAAGGCAAATTATTAGGCTGACTGATTCCCCCACCACCAAAAAAAAAAAAAAAAAAAAAAAAAAGCTTACCATTTATAAATCCCAAGATGGAGCTGGGTGTCACCTGAATATTCTGCACTCTGTCCATTAATATTTTGATCATTTAAAGTTACAGTGTCTTCAAAATTAAAAATTGAGTTCTTATTATCACTTTACATTCTTGGGACCAACCTGATGTAAATATATCCAACAATTATGCTTGTAACACGAACAAGGCTATAACTACATTCTAAAATGAGTTACTGAGATCCAATATACTTTAAATACAGTAATTGATTAAGAATAAAAATCTCATTTGAGGAAATGAAGGATTTGAGGCTGAATAGAAATTGTTGATAATTACAAATACTTTTTTGTGTTTTGTATTAATTTCAAATGTATGGTTTGAAATCACATAAGCACTGTATCATAATGCTTCTCTAAAATTTATATATTCAATTATATGACACTTTTTCTGCAATACAATGTTACTACCTCTAGAAAAAGTGCAGATATGATAAAATAAAAATGAATGTTCACTTTAAGAAAGTTACTTGTATTCTAGTATTAATTTCCACACTAGCTCACTTAAAGATATTTGTCTAGTTATTTAATGTATCTTGTTATAACACTGTTTTATCTCTTGCCACAACAGCTGATCATTTAAATAGAGTTGGTGAATATTTTCTTAAAGGACCAGATGGTCAATATTGTAGGCTTTGATGATAGATATTGTAGAGATTACTTATTAAGGTCTCTGTCACAACTGCTGAACAGTGATATTGTGCCACAGAGGTAGTCATAGAAAATAAGTGAACAAATGAGAGTGGCTTTGTTCCAATAAAACTTTATTTGTAAAAACAACTTCTGGGTCATATTTGACCCATAGGACATCATTTGCCTAGCCCAGCTTTAAATAGTAAAATTGGGCTCAAGGAATTATGTTCCATTTTTTAATAGTCCTTGCTTATCATTCAAAAGAAAGGTGAACAATAATTGGACATGATTTGAAGTAAATTAACCTGACGTTACATCACAGAGTGGATACTTAGAGTATGTTAACCCTGTCTAAAAGATGGCATCACATAAGGGTGGTTAACAGTCAGTCCTCTGGAGCCAGAACTACTTGAGATAGATCTTAGATTCTCCATTTATTAGTTGTGTACTCATAGAAAGAAATTTATCTTCCTTTTTAAAATTTTTATTTTTTATGGGTACATAGTAGGTGTACACAATTATGAAGTACATGAGATATTTTAATATAGGCATGTGATATGTACTGATTATATGACAATAAGTGGGATATCCATCACCTTAAGCATTTATCATTTATTTGTGTTACAGACATTCCAATTATACTCTTTCAGTTATTGTTAAATGTACAATAAATTATTGTTGACTGTAGTCACCCTGTTGTACTACCAAATGCTAGGTCTTATTCATTCTGTCTATAATTTTGTACCCATTGACCATCCCCTCCCACCTTCACCCACTACCATTCCCAATTTCTGGTAACCATCATTCAAATCTCTATCTCCATGAGTTCAATTATTTTAATTTTTAAGTCCCACACATAAATGAGAACCTATGAAGTGTGTCTTTCAGGATGTGGCTTATGTAAGTTAACAAAATGTCCTCTAGTTCCATCCATATTGGTACAAAAGAAAGGATCTTGTTTTATCACTAAGTAGTAGTCCATTTCGTATATGTATCACATTTTCTTTATCTATTAGTCTGTTGATGAACACTTAGGATGATTTCAAAAACTGACTATTATGATTAGTGCTGCTAAAACCACAAAAGTGCTGATATTACTTTTGTATGTGGATTTCCTTTCTTTTGTATATAAACCTAGCAGGGAGGTTTGCTGGAGCATATGGTAACCTAATTGTAGTATTTGAGGAACCGCTCTACTGTTATTCATAATGGCAGTTCTAATTTACATTCCCACCAAGAGTGTACTAGGGTTTCCTTTTCTCCATATCCTTACCAGCATTTCTTATTACCCATCTTTTAGATAAAAGTCTTTTATAACTAGAGGGAGTTATTTAACTGGAATTTTGATTTACTTACCTCTGATGATCAGTGATGTTGAGCACAATTTCATATACCTGTTTGCCATTTGTATATCTTCTTTTGAGAAATGCCTATTCAGATGTTTTGTGCATTTTTAAATAGTGGTATGGTTTGGCTCTGTGCCCCACCCAAATCTCATGTTGAATTGTAATTCCCACATGTTGAGGGAGGGACCTGGTGGGAGGTGATTAGATCATGGGGGAGATTTCCCCCATTATGTTCTTGTAATAATGAGAGAGTTCTCAAAAGTTCTGATTGTTTAAAAGAGTGTGGGATTTCCCCCTACTACTCCTGTTCCACCATAGTAAGAAACACTTGCTTCCCCTTCACCTTCTGCCATGACGGTAAGTTTCCTGAGGCGTCACAGTATGTTCTGGCTGTGTCCTCACCCAAATCTCATCTTGAATTGTAACTCCCACAATTCCCACATGTCATGAGAGGAACTCAGTGGGACGTGATTGAGTTATGGGAAAGGTCTTTCCTGTGCTGTTGTCATTATAATGAATGAGTCTCAAGAGATCTGATGGTTTTAAAAATGAGAGTCTCTCTGCACAAGCTCTCTCTTTTTTTGCCTGCTGCCATCCATATAAGACATGACTTGCTCCTCCTTGCCTTCTGCCATGAGTGTGAGGCTTCCCCAGCCATGTGGAACTGTAAGTCCATTAAACCTCTTTCTTGTGTAAATTGCCCAGTTTTAGGTATGTCTTTATCAGCAGTGTGAAAACAGACTAATACAGTAAATTGGTACTGGGGGTGGGGCGCTGATGAGAAGATACCCAGAAATGTAGAAGCAACTTTGGGATTGGGTAATAGGCAGGGTTTGGAATGGTTTTCAGAGGTCAGAAGAAGACAGGAAAAAAGTTGGAAAGTTTGGAACTTCCTAGAGACTAGTTGAATGGCTTTGCCCAAAGGCTGATAGCAATATGGACAAAACAGTCCAGGCAGAGGTGGTCTCAGATGGAAATCAGGAACTTGTTGGGAACTAGAGCAAAGGTGACACTTGTTATGTTTTAGCAAAGAGACTAGCAGCATTTTGCCCCTGCCCTAGAGATTTGTGGAACTTTGAAATTGAGAGAGATCATTTAGAGTATCTGGCAGAAGAAATTTCTAAGCAGCAAAGTATTCAAGAGGTGACTTGGGTGCCATTAAAGGCATTCAGTGTTATAAGGGAAGCAGTGCATAAACGATTGGAAAATTTGCAGCCTGACAATGTAATAGAAAAGAAAATCCCATTTTCTGAGGATAAATTCAAGCTGGCTGCAGGAATTTGCACAAGTAATGAGAAGTCAAATGTTAATCCCCAAGATAATGGGGTAAATGTCTCCAGGGCATGTCAGAGGACTTCATGGCAGCCCACTTCATCACAGACCCGGAAGCGTAGGAGGAAATTAATGGTTTCATGGGCCAGGCCCAGGGTCCCTGTGCTGTGTGCAGTCTAGGGACTTGGTGCTCTGCATCGGAGCTTCTCTTGCCATAGCTGAAAGGGGCCTACCTAGAGCTTGGGCTGGAGCTTCAGAAGGTGAAAGCCCCAGGCCTTGGCAGCTTCCACATAGTGTTGAGCCTGCAAGTGCACAGGAGTCAAGAATTGGGGTTTGGGAACTTTTGCCTAGATCTCAGAGGATGTATGGAAATGCCTGGTTGTTGAGGCAAAAGTTTGCTGCAGGTGTGGGGCCCTTGTGGAGAACCTCTGCTAGGGCATTGTGGAAGGGAAATGTTGGGTCAGAGCCCCCACACAGTGTACCCACTGGGGCACTGCCTAGTGGAGCTGTGAGAAGAGGGCCACTATCCATCAGATCCCAAAATGGTCGATCCCCTGACAGCCTGCACCATGTGCCTGGAAAAGCTAAACACACAATGCCATCCTGTGAAAGCAGCCCAGAGGGAGGCTGCATCCTACAAAGCCACAGGGGTGGAGCTGCCCAAGACCATGGGAACCCACCTCTTGCATCAGCCTGACCTGGATGTGAAAACATGGAGTCAAAGGAGATCATTTTGGAGGTTAAAAATTCGACTGCTGTGCTCAAATTCAGACTTCCATGGGGCCTATAGACACTTTGTTTTGTCCAATTTCTCTCATTTGGAATGGCTGTATTTACCCAATGCCTGTACCACTATTGTATTTAGGAAGTAATTAACTTGCTTTTGATTTTACAGGCTTATAGGTGGAAGGGACTTACTTTGTCTCAAAATCATAATTCAGTTCAGCATTAACTCAAAAGTCCACAGTCCAAAGACTTTGAAGAACTGTTGGGAAGGCATGATTGGTTTTAAAATGTGAAGACATAAGATTTGGGAGGCACTAGGGACAGAATGATATGGTTTGGCTGTGTCCCCACCCAAATCTCATCTTTATTTGTAACTCCCACAATTTCCACAAGTCATCGGAAGAACCCAGTGGAAGGTGATTGAATTATGGGGGTGGGTCTTTCCAGTGCTGTTCTCATGATACTGAATGGGTCTTTTGAGATCTCTTGGTTTTAAAATGAGAGTTTCCCTGCGCAAGCTCTCTTTTTTTGCCTGCTGCCATCGATGTAAGACGTGGCTTGCTCCTCCTTTCCTTCTACCATGATTGTGAGGCTTCCCAGGCATGTGGAACTGTAAATCCATTAAACCTTATTTTCTTCACAGTCTCAGGTATGTCTTAATTGGCAGTGTGAAAATAGAATAATACACCTTCCCAGTCATGCTTTCTGTAGAGCCTGCAGAATTGTGAACCAATTAAACCTTTTTTCTTTATAAATTACCCAGTCTCACAGGTTTAGGTAGTTTTTTACAGCAATTCAAGAATGAGCTATACAGACAATTGTATTGAAAGTGAGATATTGCTATAAAGATACCTGAAAATGTGGAATCACCTTTGGATCTGGGTAAATGGCAGAGGTTGGAATAGTTTGGAGGGCTCAGAGGAAGACAGGGAGATGTAAGAAAGTTTGGAACTTCCTAGATACTTGTTGAATGGTTGTGACCAAAATGCTGATAGTGATATGGACAATGAAGTCCAAGTTGAGGTGGTCACAGAGGGAAATGAGAAACTTACTGAGAACTGGAGTAAAAATCACTCTTGCTATGCTTTAGCAAGGGAACTGGTGGCATTTTTTCCCTGCCCTAGACATCTGTGTAACTTTGAACTTGAGAGAAATAATTTCAGGTATCTGGCAAAAAAAAATTTCTAAGAAGCAAAACATTTAATATGTAACCTGGCTGTTTCTGAAAGTATATAGTCGTATGTGTTCACAAAGAGATAGTCTGAAATTGGAACTTATGTTTAAAATTGAAGCAGAGTGTAAGTTTGGAAAATTTGCAGCCTGTCCATGGGGCCAAAAAGAAAAATCCTTTTTCTGGGGAGAAATTCAAGCCAGCTACAGAAATTTGCATAAATAATGAGGAGCTAAATATTAATAGCCAAGACAATGGAGAAAATATCTATATCTCCAGGGCATTTCAGAGATCTTTGTGGCAACCCCTGCAATCATAGGCCTGTGAGCCTAGGAGGGAAAAATTGTTTTGTGGGCCTCGCCCAGGGCCCTGCTGCTTTGTGTGGCCCCAGGACATGGTGCCCTGTTCCCCAGACACTCCAGCTCCAGCTGTGTCTAAAAGGGGAAAAGATAAAGCTCTGGCTATTGCTTCAGAGGGCGCAGTCTCCAAGCCTTGGTTGCTTTCATGTGGTGTTGTGCCTGCAGCTGCACGGAAGGCAAGAGTTGAGGTTTGGGAACTTCCACCTAGGTTTCAAAGGATGTGTGGAAATTCCTTAATGTCCAGACAGAAGTCTGCTGCAGGGGCAGAGCATTCATGGAGATCCTCAACCACAGCAGTGCAGAGAGGAAATGTGGGGTTGGAGCCCCAGACAGAGTCCCCACTGGAGGACTGCCTAATGTAACTGTGAGAAGCGGGCCACTGTCCTTCAGACCCCAGAATGGTAGGTAGACTGACACCTTGCACCAAGCACCTGGAAAAGCCACAGGCACTGATCACCAGTGCATGAAAGCAGCCACAGGGCTGTATTCTGCAGACACATAGAGATGGAACTGCCCAAGGCCTTAGGAGCCCAGTTCTTGCAGCAGCATGACCAGGATGTGAGACTTGGAGTCAAAGGAGATTATTTTAAAGCTTTGAGCTGTGATGATTATGCTGCAGGGTTTCAGACTTGCATGAGGCCTGTACCCGCTTTGTTTTGGCCAATTTCTTCCACTGGGAATGGGAGAATTGATCCAATGCCTGTATCCCAATTGTATCTTGAAAGTAATTAACTTGCTTTTGATTTTACAGGCTTATAGGCATAAGGAACTTGCATTCTCTCTGATGAGACTTTGGACTTGAACTTTTGGGTTAATGCTGGAATAAGTTAAGACTTTGGGAGACTGTTGGGAAGGCATGATTTTGTTGTGAAATGGAAGAAGGACATGAGCTTTGGGAGGGTCCAGGGGTGGAATAATATGGTTTGGCTCTGTGTCTTCACCCAAATCTCATAACAAATTGTAATCCCCACATGTCAAGGAAGGGACCTGGTGGGAAGTAATTGGATCACTGGGGAGCTTTCCCCAGTGCTGTTCTCATTATAATGAGTGAGTTCTCATGAAGTCTGAGGATTTAAAAGTATATGGCAGGTCCCCCCGCCACCTCTCTTTCTCCTGTTTCACCATGGTAAAATGTGCTTGCTTCCCCTTCATCTTCCACCATGATTGTAAGTTTCCTGAGGCCTCCTATTGATGCTTGCTGTTAAGCCTGGGGAACTGAGTCAATTAAACCTCCCTTCTTCATAAGTTATCCAGTCTCAAGTAGTTCTTTAGAAAGGCTTGAAAACAGACTAATACAAATAGGATTATTAGTTTTCCTCCTGTAGAGTTGTTTGGGCTACTTACATATTTTGGTTATTAAACCCTTGTCAGATGAATAGTTTGCAAATATTTTCTTCTATTCTGTGTGTTGTTTCTTCATTTCATTGATTGTATCCTTTGCTGGGCAGAAGCTTTTTAACTCGATGTGATCTTTTTTGTACATTTTTGCTTTGGTTGCCTGTGATTTTGGGGTATTACCCCAAAAATATTTGCCCGAACCAATGTTTTGGATAGTTTTCCCAAAGATTTCTTTTATAATTTTATAGTTGGAGGTTGTAGACTTAAGTCTTTAATCCTTTTGATTTGATTTTTGTATATGACGAGAGATAGGGGTTTAGATTCTTTCTTCTGCATGTGGATATTGTTTTCCCAGCACATTTTAATGATGAGACAGAAATGCATATTCTTAGCATCTTTATTAAAAATGAGTTTATTGTAGCTGAGTAGATTTATTTCTGGGTTCTTTACTCTTCCATTGGCCTGTGTGTCTGTTTTTATGCCAATACCTTGCTGTTTTGGTTACTATATTTCTGTAGTATAATTTGAAGTAAGGTAATGTGATTTCTCCTGTTTTGCTCTTTTTGCTTAGGATGGCTTTGGCTATTCTGAATCTTTTGTGGTTCTCTGTAAAATTCAGGGTTATTGTTTCTGTTTCTGTGAAGAATGCCATTGATGATTTGATAGGTGCTGCATTGAATCTGTCAATTGCTTTGAGTAGTATGAACATTTTAACAATATTATTCTTCTAATTCTTGAACATGTAGTATCGTTCCATTATTTGTGTCCTCTTCAGTTTCTTGAATCAATGTTTTATAGATTTCCTTGTAAGAATCTTTTATGTCTTTGGTTAAGTTTATTCCTAGGTATTTTATTTTATTTGTAGCTATTATAGATGAGATTATTTTATTGATTTCTTTTTCAGATTGTTCATGATCAGCATATAAAATTGCTACAGATTTTTGCATGTTAATTTTGGATCCTGAAATTTTACTGAATTTATCATGTCTAATAGTTTTTTGGTGGAGTCTTTAGGCTTTTCTGAATAGAACATCATATCATTTGCAAACAAGGATAATTTTCCTTTTTCCTTCCCAATTTGAAACACATTTTATCTCTTTCTCTTCTCTAATGGCTCTAGTTAGGAGTTCAAATACTATGTTGAATAATCGTGAAGAAAGCGGGCATCCTTGTCTTGTTCCAGATCTTAGAGGAAAGGCTTTCAATTTTTCCCCATTCAGTATGATAGTAGTTGTGGGTCTTTTGTGTATGGCTTCTATTGTGTTGATGTATGCTCCTTCTATACCAAGTAGTTTTGGGTTTTTATCATGAAAGTATGTTGTATTTATCAAATGCATTTTCAGCATCAAATGAAATAATCCTATGGTTTTATCCTTCATTCTGTTGATAAGATATATCACATTGATTAATTTGCATATGTTAAATGATCCTTGCATCCTAGGAGTAAATCCCCCTTGGTTATGAGGAATAAATGTATTTAATATACTGTTGAATTCAGCTTGCTAGTATGTTTTAAAGATTTATGCATTGATATTTATCAGAGATATGGGTCTGTAATTTTACTTATTTGATATGTCTTTGTCTAGTTTTGGTGTCAGGGCAATACTAGCCTCATAGAATCAGTTAGAAAGTCGTCCTTTTTCCTCTATTTTCATAATAGTTTGAGTAGAATTGGTATTATTTCTCTTTAAGTGTTTGATAAATTTCAGCAATGCAGCTATTGCATCTCAGGCTTTTCTTTACTGGGAGACTTTTTATTACAGCTTCGATTTTATTACTTATTATTGGTCTGTTCAATTTTTAGATTTCTTCATGGTTCAATTTTTGTAGGTTGTATATGTCTAGAAATGTATCAGTTTCTTCTATGTTTTCCAGTTTGGGGCATATAGTTGTTTATATTAATCTCCAGTTATCCTTTGAATTTCTCCAGGATTAGTTGTAATGTGTCCTTTGTCATCTCTGATATTATTTATTTGGATCTTCTCTCTTTTACTCTTAGTCTGGCTTATCTTCTGTCAATTTTGTTTTTATTTCCAAAAAATCAATTTTTGTCTTGTTGCCTTTTTGTATTATTTGTTTTAATTTCATTTATTTCTGCTGTGATCTTTATTATTTCTTTGCTCTACTAATGTTGGTTTCAGTTTGTTCTCGCTTTTCTAGCACCATCAGGCTGTTTATTTGAAGTTCTCTGCTTTTTGATGTAGATGTTTATAGCTATAAGCTTTACTGCTTTTACTATGTCCACAGGTTTTGGATTGTTGTGTTTCCATTTTTATTTGTTTCAGGACATATTTTAGTTTTCTTAATTTCTTTGTTGACGTCTTGGTCATGTAGAAGCATCTCGGTCATGTAGAAGTGCTTGTATGGTTTCCAAAGTTTCTATTATTATTGATTTCTAGTTTTATTCTATTGTAGTCCAAAAAGATGCTTGATATTACTTATATTTAAAAAATATTTTAAGACTTGTTTTGTGGCCTCACATGTGGTCTATCTTTGAGAATGATCCATGTGCTGAGGAGAAAAAAAGTGTGCTCTGCAGCCTTTCGATGAAACGTTCCATAAATATCTATTAGGTCATATAGTCTATAGTGCAGATTAGGTTTAATTTTTGTTGTTGTTGTTGTTGTTAATTTTCTCTCTGGATGATTTGCACAATGTTGAAAGTAGGGTATTGAACTCTCCAGCTATTACTGTATTGAGGTCTCTCTCTTTAAGTCTAATAATATTTGTATTATATAATTGCATGCTTCAGGGTTGGTTGCATATATATTTATAAATATATCTTCTTGCTGAATTGACCCCTTTATCATTATATAATATCCCTCTTTGTCTTTTTTATGTTTTTTGTCTTGAAATCTATTTTTTTCTGGTATAAGTGTAGCTACTCCTGCTCTTTATCTGTTTTCATTTGCATGGAATGTCTTTTTATATCCCTTTATTTTTAGTCTGACTATGTCTTTACAGTTGAAATGTATTTCTTATAGGCAGTAGACAGTTGGGGCTTGTTTTCTTAATCCATCCATCCTTTCCTTGTCTTTTGATTGGAGCATTTAATCCATTTAAATTTAATGTTATTATTTATATGTAAGGACTTGATACTGCCATGTTATTATTTGTTTTCTGTTTATTTTTGTTCTTCTTTTCCTACTTTGCTTTCTTCCTGTCTTCCTTTTAGTGAAGGTGATTTTCTCTGGTGGTATGTTTTAATTTTTTGCTTTTTTTGTATGTGTATCTGTTACAATTTTTATGATTTGAGGTTATGAGGCTTGCAAATAACATCTTATAATCCACAATTTTAAACTGATGACAAGTTAACATGGATTGCAAATATAAACTCTCAAATAAGCAAATAAAAATGAATAAAAACTATGTTTTAACTTCATTCTACCCACTTTTAAACTTTTTGTTGTTTCTATTTATAACTTATTATACTGTCTAAATCCTGAAAAGTTTTAGTTCTTAGTTTTGACAGTTTCATCTTTGAGTCTTTCTTCTCAGGATATGATTAGTTTACAAAACACAATTATAGAGTTACAATATTATGTATTTTTCTGTGTAGTTACTATTACCAGTAAGTTTTGTCCCTTCAGGTGAGTTATTATTGATTGTCACCATCCTTTTATTTCAGGTTAAATAAGTCCCTTCAGCATTTTTTGTAGGACAAGACTGGTGTTGATGACATACCCTCAGCTTTTGTTTGCCTGAGAAAGTCTTTACTTCATTTAATGTGTGAAGAATATTTTTACTAGATATACTATTCTAGGATAAAGGTTTTTTTTTTTTTTCAGCACTTTAAATATGTCTTACCACTCTCTCCTGGCTTGTAAGGTTTTCGCTGAGAAGTCTGCTGCCAGACATATTGGAGCTGCTTTGTATTTTATTTGTTTCTTTTCTCTTGCTGCCTTTAGAATAGGCTTTTTATCCTTGACCTTTGGAAATTTGATTATTAAATGTCTTGAGGTTGTCTTACTTTAGTTAAGATTGCTTGGTGTTCTATGACCTTCTTGTACTTTAATATTGATATCTTTCTCTAGGTATAGAGAAAATAACATTCTCTGTTATTTTCCCTTTGAATAAACTTTCTTTGTCTATCTCTCTCTACTTCATTTTTAATGCCAGTAACTCTTAGATTTATCCGTTTGAGACTATTTTCTAGATCTTCTAGGCATGCTTCATTTTCTTACTTCTTTTTTCTTTTGTCTCATCTGATTATGTATTCTCAAATAGCCTGTTTTCAAGTTCATGAATTCTTTCTTCTGCTTCATCAATTCTGTTGAGAGACTGATGCATTAATCAGTATTTCAACTGAATTTTTCAACTCCAGAATTTCTCACTGATATTTAAAGAAAATTTTAACATGTTTGTTAAATTTATCTGATATGATTCTGAATTCCTTCTCTGTGTTATCTTGAATTTTGTTAAATTCAATTTTTTTCTCAAAAAAAAAGTATTTTGAATTTGCTATCCAAATGGTCATATATCTCTGTCCCTCTGGTATTGGTCACTGGTGCCTTATTTAGTTTTTTGATGTCATGTTTTCCTGGATAGTCTTGGCCCTTGTAGATGTTTGTCAATGTCTGGGCATTGGAGAGTTAGCTTTTCATTGTAATCTTCACAGTCTGGGCTTGTTTTAACCCATCCTTCTTGAGAAGGCTTTCCAAGTATTCAAAGAGAATTGAGCATTGTAATCTTAGTCTTTGGTCACTGCAGCCATATATGCATTAGTGGGTGCCCCAAGTCCAGGAACACTTTGAGTTTTGCAGACTTTTAGAGGTACCATCTTTGTGGTCTTGCGTAAGATCTGGGGAAAGTCCCTAGGTTACCAGACAGAGTCTTTGGTCCTCTCTCCTTACTTTCCCTAAAACAAATGGAGTCCTTGTCTCTGTATTGCATTGCCTGGGCTTAGGGAAGGAGTGACAAAACCACCCTTGTGACCATTACCACTGAGACTGTGCTGGGCCAAACCTGAAACCAGCACAGTACTGGGTCTCACCCAAGGCCTGTGATGAATATTGCCTTGCTACCACTGATGTATATTCCAGGACCAAGGGCTCTAACCAGCAGATGGTGCATCCAGCCACACCTGTGTCTTACCTTTCAGGGTGATGGGCTCCCTTCTGGCCCAAGATTGGTCTAGAAATGCTGTCCAGAAGCTAGGGACTGGAGTACAGAACTTTAGAAATCTATTTCTTTTATATTACTATAGCTGAGCTGGTAGCCAAGTGGCAGTACAAAGTCCCTTTTACTCTTTCCTCTCCTTTCCTCAAGCAGGAGTCTCTTGTGTGGCTGCCACCACCCCAGGCCCATGGTGAGTATTGCCTAGTTATTGCTGATGTTTATTTAAGGCTCAAGAGCTGTTTAGTTCACAGGAAATAAATCCTGCCAGGCCTGGGTCTTTCTCTTCAGGTTAGCAGCTTACCTTCTAGTTCAAGATGGGTCTAGAAATATCATCCAGAGGCCAGGCGTGGTGGCTCATGCCTGTAATCCCAGCACTTTGGGAGGCTGAGGCAGGCAGATCACAAGGTCAGGAGTTCGAGACCAGCCTGGCCAACATGGCGAAACACCGTCTCTACTAGAAAAATACAAAAATTAGCTGGGTGTGGTGGCAGGCACCTGTAATCCCAGCTACTCAGGAGGCTGAGGCAGGAGAATCACTTTAACCCGGGAGGCAGAGGTTGTTGTAGTGAGCCGAGATCATGCCATTGCACTCCAGCCTGGGTGACAAGAGTAAGACTCTGTCTCAAAAAAAAAAAAAAAAAAAAAAAAAAAAAAAATCATCCAGAAGCTAAGACCTAGAACCTAGAATCAGGGATATTAGTGTCTCCTTGATGCTTTATTTTACCGTGGCTGACCTGGTATCCAAGTAGCAAGACAAAGTCCTTTTAACTATTGCTCCTCCTTTCCTAAGGAAAAAGGAGTCTTTCTCCATGACAATAACAGCTGGGAATGCACTGGGTCACACATCAAGCCAGAAATTTACTGGGTCTCACCCAAGGCCCATGGCCAGTACTGCTTATGTTTATTCAGGGCTCAAGGACTCTTCAGTTAATAAGATAAATTCTGCCAGAACTGGGTCCTTCCCTTCAAGACAGTGGGTTCTCTTCTGGCCCAGGGTATGTCTAGAAATGTCTTCCAGGAGCTAAGGCCTGAAATGGAAGCTTCAAGGCTCCGCTTGGTGTTTTATTGTGCTGTGGCTGAGCTGGTATCCAAGTTGCAAGACAAAGTCCTCTTTATTTTTACCTCTCTTTTTTTCAAGCAGAAGTAGTCTCTTCCAGAGCTGTAAGCTGTGCTGCCTGGGTTTGGGGAATGGGTTACATAAGCACTTCCTTGGCTGCCTCAATTGGTGTCTCACTGGGTCACAAACACCCCAAGTCCACCGGTCCTGAGCCCAACACAGCACTAGAACTTTTCCAGAAGGTGCAATCCTTGTGACCTAGACAGCCTTTCACATTTATTTAGGACTCTATACCCCTTGAGCTCACAGTGTCAGGGCTAGTTGGAACTCAGGTTTCAACGACTGGATGGAGAATTTCCCTTGGGCTAGGGCTGGTCTAAATGCTCCCTCCGTGGGCACCAGCTGAATTCTGCCCTGTCTTGCTTTCTGCTGCTACAGGCAGCCTGATTTCCAATGCAAACTCCCATGATCACTGTGCTTCCCCCAACCCTGGCCAGCACATAGGGATGAGGGAAGATGGCATTGGAAATTTAAGGCTGTTTTTTCTACCCTCTTCAGTTTCTCTTTCCTTGATGTCATGTTAAAACCAAATACTGCTGTCACTCAGCTGATTTTTTTCTTTTATTTTTGAGACGGAGTTTCGCTCTTGTTGCCCAGGCTGGAGTGCAATGGCACGGTCTTGTCTCACTCCAAGCTCCGCCTTCTGGGTTCAAGAAATTCTCCTGCCTCGGAAATAAAGGCCATTCAATTAGGAAAAGAGGAAGTCAAATTGTCCCTGTTTGCAGACGACATGATTGTATATCTAGAAAACCCCATCGTCTCAGCCCAAAATCTCCTTAAGCTAATAAGCAACTACAGCAAAGTCTCAGGATACAAAATCAATGTACAAAAATCACAAGCATTCTTATACACCAATAACAGACAAACAGAGAGCCAAATCATGAGTGAACTCCCATTCACAATTGCTTCAAAGAGAATAAAATACCTAGGAATCCAACTTACAAGGGATGTGAAGGACTCTTCAAGGAGAACTACAAACCACTGCTCAATGAAATAAAAGAGGATACTAACAAATGGAAGAACATTCCATGCTCATGGGTAGGAAGAATCAATATCGTGAAAATGGCCATACTGCCCAAGGTAATTTATAGATTCAATGCCATCCCCATCAAGCTACCAATGACTTTCTTCACAGAATTGGAAAAAACTACTTTAAAGTTCATATGGAACCAAAAAAGAGCCCGCATCGCCAAGTCAATCCTAAGCCAAAAGAACAAAGCTGGAGGCATCACACTACCTGACTTCAAACTATACTACAAGGCTACAGTAACCAAAACAGCATGGTACTGGTACCAAAACAGAGATATAGACCAATGGAACAGAACAGAGCCCTCAGAAATAATGCCACATATCTACAACTATCTGATATTTGACAAATCTGAGAAAAACAAGCAATGGGGAAAGGATTCACTATTTAATAAATGGACATGGGAAAACTGGCTAGCCATATGTAGAAAGCTGAAACTGGATCCCTTCCTTACACCTTATACAAAAATTAATTGAAGATGGATTAAAGACTTACATGTTAGACCTAAAACCATAAAAACCCTAGAAGAAAACCTAGGCAATACCATTCAGTAAATAGGCATGGGCAAGGACTTCATGTCTCAAACACCAAAAGCAATGGCAACAAAAGCCAAAATTGACAAATGGGATCTAATTAAACTAAAGAGCTTCTGCACAGCAAAAGAAACTACCATCAGAGTAAACAGGCAACCTACAGAATGGGAGCAAATTTTCACAACCTACTCATCTGACAAAGGGCTAATATCCGGAATCTACAATGAACTCAAACAAATTTACAAGAAAAAATCAAACAACCCTGTCAACAAGTGGGCAAAGGATATGAACAGACACTTCTCAAAAGAAGACATTTCTGCAGCCAAAAAAACACATGAAAAATGCTCACCATTACTGGCCATCAGAGAAATGCAAATCAAAACCACAATGAGATACCATCTCACACTAGTTAGAATGGCGATCATTAAAAAGTCAGGAAACAACAGGTGCTGGAGAGGATGTGGAAAAATAGGAACACTTTTACACTGTTGGTGGGACCGTAAACTAGTTCAACCATTGTGGAACTCAGTGTGGCGATTCCTCAGGGATCTAGAACGAGAAATACCATTTGACCCAGCCATCCCATTACTGGGTATATACCCAAAGGATTATAAATCATGCTGCTATAAAGACACATGCACACGTATGTTTATTGCGGCACTATTCACAATAGCAAAGACTTGGAACCAACCCAAATGTCCAACAATGATAGACTGGACTAAGAAAATGTGTCACATATACACCATGGAATACTACGCAGCCATATAAAAGGATGAGTTCATGTCCTTTGTAGGGACATGGATGAAGCTGGAAACCATCATTCTCAGCAAACTATCACAAGGACAAAAAACCAAACACCACATGTTCTCACTCATAGGTAGGAATTGAACAATGAGAACACTTGGACATGGGAAGGGGGTACATCACACACAGGGGCCTGTTGTGGGGTGGGGGGAGGGGGGAGGGATAGCATTAGGAGATATACCTAATGCTAAATGATGGGTTAATGGGTGCAGCACACCAACATGGCACATGTATACATATGTAACAAACCTGCACGTTGTGCACATGTACCCTAAAACTTAAAGTATAATAATAATAAAAAAATAAATAAATAAAAGGAAATTCTCCTGCCTCAGTCTCCCGAGTAGCTGGAACTACAGGCACTAGTCACCACACCTGGCTAACTTTTTATATTTTTAGTAGAGACGGGGTTTCACCATGTTGGTCAGGCTGGTCTCGAACTCCTGACCTCAGGTTATCCACCCGCTTCGACCTCCCAAAGTGCCAGGATTACAGGGGTGAGCCACTGCGCCCGGCCTCACCTAATTTTTTTATTCTTATGAATGTGCTTTCACATGTGGATAGTTTTTCAATTTGGTTTTCCTGTGGGATGTGGGGGACAATCGCTGGAGGTTTCTATTTGACCATCCTAACTTTATCTTTCTCTATCTAGTTTTCTCAACAAGCAAGACGAAATTGTAGCAGTTTTAAAAGAGCTTTGCAAATTCTTTGTCACTCCTCCCATTGAGAATTAGGGTCTACGTCTCTTCCTCTTGACTCTGAACTGGACTTGGTGATTCACTTGTAACCAATAGAATGCAGCAGACTCATTGCTATGTGTCTTCCAATGCTGGGTCAGAAAAAGCTTCCACTTGTTTTCCTTTGTTTGCTCTGGCCAAAGTCAGCCCACATGTAAGAAGTCAAACTACTCTAGGTGTTCAAATAATCTATCTAGTCAACAGCCATAGCTGAGTGCCCAGCCAATAGTTCCCATCAACTTTCAGCTGTGTACTTCTTGGAAATTTAGTCAGTTCAGGCTTCAGATAGCTAGTCTTAGCTGTTATTTGACTACAACTGCATGACAGATTTGTACTAAGAGCTACCCAGGTAAGCCCTTATGAAATTCCTAGCCCACAGAATTGTGAACAAAATAAAATAACTGTTGTTTTACAACATTAAGTTTTAAATATTTTATGCAGCAGCAGTAATCAGAGAGATATGATGAAATAATACCACCTCTTAAGATTGTTCTAAAAATTGAATGACTTAATGTGTGTAAAAGTACTTAGAACAATGCTTGAGTAAGTATTGTACAGAGTAAGCACCTATGCCAAAATGCAGGCTTATATTAATATGCTGGTCAATTTCCATTTTCTAATGTAATGGAAAATAGTAGATTTTCAGGATGAAATTTAAAAAAATAAAAATTACTATAATAATGAATAAAAAGTATGTATATGCAATAGAGTGGTTTATTCACTGGACAGAGTACCTAGGTCTTATGATACATTTAGGGACACATAAATATGTCTTAATATTAAGTTCTTTTAAAATCAGAAGAAAAAATCTCATAATGGTAAAAATATAATAAATACAGTTTAGATGATATTCCTCCTTATAAAATAAATTTTATCATTAAAATTTTAACATAATTTTTAATATTTTAGGAGAGTATGAAGGCAACGTGCTTAAAGTCCACAAAAGTCATAATGTGGTTCTGAACATGCACAAATTAATCATAGATTTTAGAGCTTTTTAGAGCTTTCAGCCCTGTTGTTACTCTAAAATTCTTTCTTATATGCCTATATTTTGTTTTTTGAAATTCATCTGCCTATTTGAGTTCTTGTCCAGTTTCCCACTAAGGTAACCCTGTGTGACAGTAATTTATGGGTGCAAAATAAACTGAAATTCCTAATTTGAAATGTTGGTGAGGTTAGAAACGATCTCAGAAGAAGCATTTAGGCTGAAGAATACATGCTTGTAAAGAGATATGAAAGTTATCGGAATCTTATCCCAAATTCACTCTTAATTTTGTGCTTAGGGTGGTTTCCACTTAAAATCGTTTTATCTCTGAAACTATAAAGTTGGGTGATCTCTGTGTGGTGTTAGAATTTTACATCTTCATATCAGCTCAGGCCCATTTGGAGATGGGGAGGTTTCAACTTTTGAAAACATCTTTTAAGTTGGCCAAATATATTTGGACAACTGTACGTGTGTTTAGTCTGTAATTTATATGAAAGTATATCTCTAATTTTGTTGGCATTGTATGTTGCATCAGCATTTAGAGAAGACAGGTTTTAAGTGGTATTTCTGATTCCTTCAGCAGAATGAAGTGCTGCCAATTATTAGTCTATTCTGAGTTGATCTTAAATGAGGTCTAAAAGGAAAGGCAATTTAAAACCCTGAAAGCACTCAACACACCCATGCATTAAGTTCTGGGTAATGATAAAAGAATAGCCAAACTATTTAATATGAATGATATTTGAAAAAATTCTTTCTGTGTACAACACTTATACTGCTGCTGTGAAGAAATATTAGATATAGTTCTCAACAACATTGGGTCTAGAAACTAGTTGCTGAAATAAAAACTTACGTATGGTGCCATGGGCATGAAATTTCATTAAACTGACAAAAGAATCAGGTTCTGATTCCAGGTCCATAAAGTCATAATTGAAGAATTCTTATCAAATATATTTTCTCCATGAGCTTCACTTTCTTCTTCTGCTAAGTTGAGAAAATTAAGCTTTCCCCATCTGCTGCAACATGTGTTTATGAGGGGTAAGGAGAGATATAACACATGAAACACTTAAGCGGTAATGTGAGAGAGCAGTGTTGGTAATTGTTGTAATAATAGTAGCAGTGTTAATAGCAAGAAATAACGAATAAACATAAGGACTGACATTTTACCGAAAATGCAGATTTAGAAAGAAACTTCGCAGATATGCATTTGAATTCAAAAGCAACATTAATTAAGCATGCACTACGAAATGGAAATCATACTGCCCCCAGGAGTATGAAAATTAATAGGAAAGGATTGCTATCATTGAAGAGTTTTCACTCTAGAAGAGAAACTACACAAAATAAATATAAAATTCTATAAAACTTCAGTGTATAGTAAGAATTACCAGATTACTGAACTGAATTATTTAATAATAATTTTAAATTAGGGGACCCACAGTGTTCAATTTGGTTTTCTCTAATGATGTTTAAAACTTTATCATAATTTCATACAAGAAAGAACATTTTAATATCTCAGAGAGGAATGTCATTACCTTAGAACAAAGACAATCAGCTTAGCAACTTTAAATATAATTAATCATTGTCTAAATTTATTTTAATCTACCATAGAACTTTGAAGACTTATGTATAAGAATACACAGCTCATATGTTGAAGTTTGGGAAACCAAACGAGGTTCAAAATACAGTGAGATAATAAAAAGAGCTGTGGCTAATTTATTCCATAGAGTTAGAATACGTATATTTTAATAGAGTATTCATAAAGGAGGTTACTTACAAACTGAATTGTGAATTATGCCAGGCAATATAGGATACAGAAAGGTAGAAAAATATAGATCATATAGCATAGTCACTTAGAGTGTGGGCATCTCTTAGATTATTGTGATGATTACATAATATAGATAATTCATGCAAAAATTTTAACATGATATCTAGCACATACTAAGTGCTAAATAAATATTATGAACAGTCTTCCATCTTCTCCTTCTCCTCCTCTTCTCCTTTTTCCCCTCTCCACCTTCTTCCTCTTCCTTTCCCTCCTACTCCCTGCTTCCCTCCTCCCTTTTCCCTCTTTTTTCTTTTTCGTTTTCTTCTTATTATTACTATTATTTTATGTAGCTAGTGTTAAATAGGCAGCAAGGTGTGTGAAAGGTGAAGGGAAATACAGGCATGTTCCAGAACAGAGATTATTTTATGTTATACTAGGGATGGGGACCTATGGGAGAGTCAACCTACATTTTATTTTTAGGAAGTTCTTTTTTATATTAGTGTAAAGAACAAATTGGTTGAGGCAAGAACTGTAACAGAAATATTAGTTTGGAGCCTGTTGTAGAGTTTAGGTGACACAGCATGATAGTAAACTGTGGCAAAAGTGCCAAGAAGAGGAAGGTAATGACAGATTGTAGGATTATTTAGGGAATGGTGAATAAATATACTGGGGTAAAGGACCCCAACACATTTGTAAAGAAAAAGAAAGGATTTAAGATGCATCCCAGATTTCTGATTCAATCATGCTATATTCATTCTATATTCTAAACACATTTCAGATATTCTGAACGAACTATTTGACATACATTGAAAGTGAATTATTATTTTATAAGATAACACTTTGATCTTCAATATCTGAAACAAAAAGAACAAAACACTTTAGAGACTGAACTATTCCACAAGGTGGGAGAAATCAGGTTTAAATGTCTGTAATTTCTCTCTGTAGAGAAAATTAAAATGTCAGATGGTAAAATTATGCAGTACTTGCATTGGATTCCAAAATTTTAAAGGGGAGAATATTGGCTTAGTTGGCAATTGTTATTTGGGGTTTATTGATCTAAACGGACAGTTTTGTAATAAGGCCAACCTCTGTCAAAAACAAATGCAAACACTGCTGAAAGTAAAATGCTAGTGGCATTCACTGTCAGGGAGAAATATGCTAAAAGGCAGATTTAGTTAAGGAAATTATAAATGGAAGCTTCAAGTTCTGGTCTAGAAAATAACTTTTTAGCTCTGCGAATAGCAGTGTTATCCATGAATAAAAGGTCTTTGCATTTAAACTTTAGTTGTATGTAATACTTCATGTATTATACTAATTTATTACTAATAAAATAAAAAGGCTGAGGTGAAGATGTACTAACAATTTATTGGATTGTCCAGATAGTATTGCTATGAAATGCGTCCGTGGCAATTGTGACATTTTAATAGATGATATCTAAGATGCAAGAAGTCAACCTATCTTCCTTTAAAACCATGAGGAGAGTAAGTTTAAGATACTAACAGAATCATTAGTTCCTAAAAGAATTCCAAAATTATCTTCAGGCTTAAGGATTTCGAAACTTTCTTAGAATTTTGGTTTAAATCCACATTTCAAAATTATGTCACTGAAAGAACAGACTACTGACCCCAGCGAAGAGCAAAATTATTCATTTTAGTACTATTAGCCTAGTAGTCTTCTTAGGACCCCATAAAACAATGAAGGGTTCTAATTCCCTTGTCCTGATTTTTACCCAGAAGAAAAAAATGTCTGAGTGTACCAAAACATCTTTTATGATATTTCAACCAAATGCAGTTTCAATAAACAGCAAACGAATACTTTAGATAACCTGGGGCTGAGGCATGGTATATGTTGAAATGAACGTTAAGGGACTCTGCTTTCTTTAACCAAATAATTGGCAGTGTTTTTAACTTATAAGTAAATAGAAAAATGAATTGCAAAATGACAACCTAATGAAACGAATTGCTCCTTTCAAGTCTTTTGGTCATTTTTAATTGTAAAATGTTTTTGTTGCTCAGTTGTAGAAGTTCTTTACCTATGGTGAGCCTTCTATCACGTATATGATTTTCAAATGTTTTCTTCAATTGGCCGTAGATTTTTAAGCACCGTGAGATCAAGGGCCATGTCCATTTTTTTCATCAATTTATTTGTCCCCAGTGGCTGGCATATATTATACCACTTATTCATAAACTTTCAATTATATGTTTACATTTTCAAATTATATTTTAAAACTCTGAAATTTAAAATGTCAAATATTAACTATAAAAATCTCATCTCCTGATGATGAGAAATATCATTTTTATTTGAATCTTCATTCTTCTGTCTTTTCCAAATGTTTTCCTTTGAAATATACATGTTTATATCAGAAAGATATTAATCCTGCCCACCACAAGTTCAGTTTAGAGAAGAAATTTCATTATGTAAAGAAATTAAATAATATTTGCAGCTACAATGAGAACTCTCTTAGATGTCCTCAGTGTTGAATTAGTGGGACCTCCTTAATATTCTTGAGAATGTAAGTGCCAGACAGAGGGCTAAGTATTTTGAATGAACTGATACTCTTCTTCACAACAGCATTTAGTGGAAGACACCAATACATTATTTTATGGATGGAGTAACTGAGGTTTAAAGAGGTTAAGTAAAAACCTAGACAAACAAATAGTTATTAAAGCTAGATATTTTGTATAAAATCTTATTAAGAACTTGCCTCCTATTACACTAAATTTTACTATCTTAACAAAAGGAAATTTGCTTTATCTAAATTATCAAAAGTGTTCATTTTTTTTTTATTCAGTCAGAACAGCTCTGAGCCAGTACTCTAATTATTCCTCATGAAACAATCAGGTAAAGCAGAATAGTCTAGTAAAAACCAAAGGACTTTTTTTTCAGAGGACATGCATGAATTAAAATTTAGGAAAATATCAATGAAAACTGCATGTGCCTAAAAAGGGAAAGATCTTGATTGATAATTATTTGTTTCAAAATAAAATTACTTATATTTTACTGTAAAAATTTTGGTGACTTTTAATGTTGAAGGAAATGTTAATCGTAAGTAAAAAATAGAACATTCAAATATTCATTATAAAAGTAAATGAATGTAAATTATCACCACTTTGGTTAAGTTATAATTTCCTGTTAACTAAGGAAGAAAAAGACATGTAGAATTATATGTAGCTGTTATGGTTCAAACAAAAAGGATGCAAATTATTTTCAGGATATTTTCCCTGACACCAATTCTAGAATGTATTGATTATGCAGATTTTGATGTAAGGGTGATTAAATAACACAAAGAGCAATTGCTCTAACTTCAGCTTTACAGAGGATAAAGGGCCCTTCTGATAGACAGTACATGTATTCCTTTCTGGAAAAATGAAACTGTTTATAAGTAAATCTACATATACTGACAATATTTCCACAGTGGCCTTGAATATTATAATCTAGACAAATCCAGAATCTGTGACATTAAAAAGAGTTTAAATAGCTTGGAAGAATATTTCACATGTTTCCAGTAGCTATCTATTTATTGTAATAATTACCTTGGAAAAGTTTTAAAAATTCAACTTCCAAGACTTAACCCTGGACCTATTGAATAAATATTTCTTCATAGGACCCATGAAATCTCTCTAAATTATCAAATATTATTATTGATAATTTTACAAGTATGGATTGCAGTCATTTTATTTTATAACAGTTCATAAAAGGTTAATATTTTAGATTAATTACATAAAGAAGTCATATTGTAAAAGCAGGCTGTAAAAATTTAAAAGTTAAGGCAGAGTTAATTAAAATTTTAAGAGAGAACGTGTTTTTTTTTTGGTTAGTTTCTACATGAGTGTATGTATACTAGCCATTAAAAAGTAGGTCTGAATCTGCAAACGCATGCAGACAAGCATTGCAATGCTATCTCACAGTTGTACCAAATAGCAGGGAAGCAATTCTCTGGTTACCATAACCATGAAGGAATACCAGTATGGCTTCTTCAAAATGTATTGCTAAGATTAAATATTACAGCCCAATTTTTGCACATGTTGCATTAATATCTCCATTTAAAATAATATTAATGTTTAAAAATCATACAGTAACACCACTTCATTTATAAAAATTAAGTAACTAAAATCTCTGTAGTAGGAATATTTTATTGAAGAAATTGAAACCCTATAGTAAATATAAAACTATGCATTTAAATGTTTCCAATAAGTTTGTGAAAACCTATAGATAAATATGTTTCTATTTACTAAAAACAAAACAACAACAAATAGCCACGTGTTATCTAATGATAGGGAGCTGGACGTTATCCTTATGCCACTGTATAAATGACACTCACTAATGGCCATAATTAACTGTAAATGCAGTTATGGAATGCACTGCATTTGACTTGGGAATGTGACTGGTGATTACAATTTAAAAAATTAATGACACACCTACAAGCACACCAATTACCAACACAAGACTCCCGTTTTCATATACAATATAGAAAAATAGAACATTCTCAGATGTTCAACAATACCACCACCACCAGCAGCAACAACAGCAAAGCTGGGCAATCATCAAATTCACAACTATTCTTGAATCCATCAATGAAGTAAGATCACAGGCCAACCAAGTAACTCCAAATCCATGGAAAGACAAGTATATCTAAGGACAGATGCAGATCAAGCAGTTGCTTATCTGGGACAGACACCAGTGGTCAGCTAAATATTTTGAGAAATTCTTCTCCATAATGCTATACTTTGATGTTTGTCCCTTCCAAAATTCATGTTGAAATGTGGTTGCCATTGTGTTGGTGTTGGAAGGTGGGGCCTTCGGGAAGCAATTGAGCCATGAGAGCTCTACCCTTATAGGTGGATTAATGCCATTATAAAAAGTCCAGTTTGTTCCTCTCATGACTTTTTGCCTGTTCACCTTTCACCATATTAGGGATGCAGCAAGAAGGCTCTGACCAGAAGCTAATGCCCTGATCTTGGACTTACCAACCTCTAGAACGGTTTGAAAATAAATTTCTGTTTGTTTTTAAAATATAAATTACCTAATCTGTGGTATTCTTTGTACACAAAATGAACTTTTAACACAAAATGTACTAAGATAGGTGGGGTATGTACTAACGACAGAATATAGATCCTCTGGGAAGGAGAATGCATATACAAAGTGAATGCATACCTACTTACAGGCTATTCTTTAGAGACTTCTCCAAGTGCTCAAGAAAAGTATTGGCCACCGTAGTGAGAAAGCATGCTTTGTTGTATGGACAAAGAAGAGGCAAACAGTAGCCACTGAAGGATAAAATGTCCCAGAGCAACTAGAGAAAACACCCCAGCTCTCTCCTACAGAAGGAAAGGCTTAAGCCAGTGGGGAAGTCGAGGGGATAGGGAGCTGAAGCATTGTCCTTCCCTAAAGGCATTGGTGAAAACCCATGATAGCTGGAGAAAGAGAATGGAACAATAAAATAAAATACCTACACTCTTGAGAGAAGGGCAGTAATTCATGCTGGGTCCAGGTATACAGCAGGGAGTGGAACAGCCTTTGACAAAGCCTCACTGCCTGACTGCCGGGTCCGACCCATAGACCCTGACAGAGTGACGGATGAAAAAATGCACTCAGACACAGGTATCCAGTGAAAGAGTGGGCTAGGGGACTGAGCCGCTCACAGAAAGAGTTGAAGCAGCTGCAGCCCTGACAAGCTGGCACTGCGGGCATTTATTTAGTACAGATTTAATGACAAAGGCTTTGAGTCAACACACTTGCAGGTAATCAACATGGTTGCCACCGTCCCCCTCCCCCTGTGCCCCCCCACCACCCCCAGCCCCCATTGAGCAGTCCTGCATGTGGATGATTACAGGCCAGGTTCCAAGGCCTAAGTAAACTAATGTGTCTAGATCAGTTTCTTTATACCCCCTTGTTATCTAACCTAAGCTTTCAGGCACCAGGTAAGAGAATCTGGCTGCCTTCAGCCAAATCCTTTTCCAAAGCTTTTGTAAAACCTCCTGGACTTCCAAGGAGGTTTGCTTCTTTCTATAATTTCCTCTTATAATTTTTCCCACCACCTGACTGAACTCCTATACCTTCCCCTTTTCTGTTTTTTATATCAGGTTTGTTGATTGAAGAGTACAGATGTGTGCAGCAACAGGTCTCTCAGGCATGGTGGTCACTGCTTGTATTCTGGCTTTGATCCTAGAATTAGTAAATAACATAAGACAAACATGAGTATAATTAGCAACATTCTTTTCCAATCAAGCAGTGACCTGCAGTGTTACTTGGCATTTCAGTTTGATGAGTGCTGTTACTAAGGAACCCCACTAGGGGTATGTTAATCCCTCTTAGCTAAGCAGTCGCATTTGTTAGAAGCTGGGAAGGGGGTGTTTGTCTAAGTAACAGGACAGAAGAAAGGCAGATTTAGAAGATGGTCCCAATAGAGTGTAGCAGGTACTGGTTGCAGGTAGAATGAGAGAATTTAAAAGGATGAATAAAGCATAGCAAGGAGCAAATTATCTGGAGTGAATGGTGTCTGTGTCTGGAGTAGGATTTGCTCAGTCTTCTGACTTGTCTTTTTCAGCATCATGTCTGGGGCCTGTGTCACCTGAGGAAGCCGCATTGCCTGGTGTTGTTGGTCCTGTAGGGTCATTTTCTTTATTACTGGTACCGGGTTGGGTCCTAGCCATGCAATGGTATCGTTTGATGTGTCGTGCTGGAATCCAAAGAGGACCTGAGGGAATGTGAACACAAGCATATCCTCTTCCCCATGTTAACAATTCATTTGGACCACACCATACATTACTGTTTACATGTTACCATAAAACTGCAGGTTTTATGTCTTGAGAGGTTTTAGCAAAGTGCTTTTCTACAGCTGATTAAAATTTATCATCTAAATTTTAAAAATTAAGGTAAATAAGGCTTGTGCCAATAGTATTGCAAGATCCTTACTCATATTCCCCTTTTTTTTTTTTGTTTTCTGAGCATATTTTTAAGGATGGAATGGACACGTTCTACTATGGCCTGTCCTTGGGGGTTATACAGGATGCCTGTGGAATGTTGGATGTTCCACATGTGACCAAATTGTTGAAATTGTGAGCTGGCGTAAGCCGGACCATTGTCAGATTTAATTTTTGTGGGCTGCCCCATAAATGCAAAAGTTAAAAGAAGATGTTTAATGACATATTGGGTGAACTCTCCAGGAAAAGCATGAGAGCTAATTAAGTGAGAATTGGTATCAATGGATACATGTACATATTTAAGTTTTCCAAATTCAGGGACATGTGTAACATCTGTTTGCCATAACGGATTTGGTTCTAGTCCTCTAGGGTTAACACCTCTTGAAGGAGGGGACATGCTTGTGAGCTGGCAATCTGGGCATTGCAGGCTAATTTGTTTAGTCTCTGGGTAAGTTGAAATTGTTAGGTAAGTTTCTCCAGTTTTGGTGGAAAAATTGATGTGACTGGGTGGCTTGACCAAGCACTGATGTCATAACTTGTAGGTTTGCTTGATCATCGACATAAACCAATGGGCCAGGCAGTGAGATGTGGGCCCAAATGTGTGTAATAAAAATAGGATGTGTACGTTGATCTAGCAATTGCTGAAATCAAAGAAAAAGTACACGCAGGGTGGGCTCCAGAGTGGAGTTAATGAGGGCTGTCTCTGGGTTCTGCAATAAATAAACAGAGTAAGCAGAGTCACTAACAATATTGATGAGCTGAGTGGAAATAGTTTTCCAAGGCCAATATTAAGGCTCCCACCTCAGCTCTCTGAGTTCTAATAAATCCAGAACGAGTGAGGGAATTATGCAATCTCCACCAAACAGCTGCTTTTCCATTTTTACCAGAGTCATCAGTAAACAGTGTTAAAACATTAGGTATGGGGGATTGGACTATTTTTGTAGGCAAAACCACAGAGGTACGAGGTAAAAACTGAAGAAGTTTTTTAGCAGGAATGGCATGCTCTATATGGCCTGTATAATCAGAGAGTGCTATTTGCAGGTCCATAGATAAGGGCAACACTGTTTCGAATTGCTTTTTAGATAAAGGAATTCTGATGATATCAGGGTCATAACTTAGTAATAGATTGCATTGTCTGCGGCCTGAATGGATGACTTTACTAACTAACTGGATATAGGGAAAGAGTGTTTTAGTCCCAGTATGTGAGCAAAAAACCCATTCTAGAAAGCATAGCTCTGGGCCATCTGTCCTATTAACCCTGTAGGGGAGTGTTTAGTGGGAAAAACAAATAATTGAATTGAATACCATGGATCTATCTGATCCAGTTGCCTCTGAGAAATAGCTTGCTCTACTTCCTCAATTTCCCTTTGTGCTGCAGGAGTTAAATACCCGGGACAGTCTAGGGCAGCATTGCCTTTTAAGATAGAAAACAGGTTCTATAACTTATCAGTAGTTATGCCTAAGGTGGGGCAAAGCCAGTTAATATGGCCTAGTGATTTTTGATAATCATTTAAGGTGTGTAAGTTGCTAGTATTTAATTTAACCTTTTGAAGGTCTTACTGACTGGGAAGTTAGTATGTACCCAAGATATTTCCAAGAAGACATCTGTACTTTTTCAGGTGCTATGATTAAGCCTCTTAACTGTGTATTCTTTACGACAGAGGCATATAACTTTAAAAGTACTGGCTTCGTTGGGACTGCTACTTAAATATCATCCATAAAATGAATCATCTTGAAATTAGGAAATTCTTTTCTACTGGGGAGCAAAGCCTGATTTACGTGATACTGACACATGGTAGGACTGTTCAGCATTCCTTGAAGAAGCACTTTCCAATGAAATTGGCAAGTTGGCTTTTCATTATTGATGGCTGGTATTGTAAATGCAAATTTTTCTCTGTCCTGTTTGCAAGGGAATAGTATAAAAGCAGTCTTTTAAGTCAATAATGATTATAGGCCAATCTTGATGAATCACCATGGGGGAGGGGAGCCCCTGCTGAAGGGGACTCATAGGTTGCAAATTAGCAATGATAGCACATAAGTCATGCAAAAGTCTCCATTTACCAGACTTTTTAGGAATGATGAAAATGGGCGAATTCCAAGGGCTGTTGGATGGTTCTATATGGCCAGCTTTTAATTGCTCCTCAACTGTCTCATGGGCTCTTCGTAATTTCTCTCCCTTTAAAGGTCACCATTCTACCTAAATAAGGTTTTGAGAGAGCCATGTCAAGGGTAGTGGAGGAGTAACAGTGGCTACTATTAGAAAGAGGTCTGTAGATTGACCTCAATTAACTCTTTTATAATTGGGCTAGAGGCTCTGTTTTCTCTAATGCCCTTTTTTATCTGTTTGTCTTGTTGATCTTGCATTGCCTGGCAGGCTAAGAGCTCCCCTTCTAATGCTGCTTGCCTAAGACAGGGTCCCATCGCTGTAGCGTATCCCTTGTCTTTTTTCCAATTTATTGGAAGAGGGGGCTCAGGCAAAACCTCCATTTCCTCTTTGTTATTTTTGTCCAGAAACAGCAAGGCTGAGGGAGATGGAGGCAGTAAGGTAGTTGACAGTTCCTCCTCCCTTCCCTTTTTAGGCTCTTCTGTGTAGTGTGGGACCAGAGCCACCCTACCTAAAGCCCATAATGTTAGAGATGTTACTGTGACCCATTGCCCTTGCATATGATGTAAGTTTTCTCCCCACTTTTTCCCAGATCTCTACGTCTAGTGTACCTTCTTCTGGGAACCATGGGTTATGGAAAACAACAGTTTTCATTAGGTCCCTTAATTGAGCCTGTGAAACCAAAGCTCCTCTAGCTTTAAGCAGCTGTTTCAATACTTTTATATACTGTTGCTGTTGAGCTGATAACTGTTGTCCCATGATGAAACCCTAGCCTGAACACTTCCCTCAAACTTGGAAATCCCGAGCAGGCACCAATGACTTACTGACTTACTGACTGCACAGTCTCTTCACCTTTAGTTCCAAAGGTTTCATCACGATCTGTTGTAGCATTCCTCATGTGGGGCACCACCAGCTGGGTCTGACCCACAGACCCTGACAGAGCGATGGATGAAAAAATGCATTCAGACACAGGTATCCAGTGAAAGAGTGGGCTAAGAGACTGGGCCACTCACAGAAAGAGTTGAAGCAGCCACAGCCCTGACAAGCTGGCACTGTGGGCATTTATTTAGTACAGATTTAATGACAAAGGCTTTGAGTCAACACACTTGTGGGTAATTGACATGGTCACCCCAACCAGAGAGAGCAGTCCTGCATGCGGATGATTAAAGGCCAGGTTCCGAGGTCTAAGTAAACGAACATATCTAGATTAGCTTCTTTACGTCCCCTTGTTATCTAACCTAAGCTATCAGGCACCAGATAAGATAATCTGACTGCCTTCAGCCAAATCCTTTTCAGAAGCTTTTGCAAAACCTCCTGGCCTTTCAAGGAGGTTTGCTTCTTTCTATAATTTCCTCTTATAATTTCTCCCACCACCCTGACCAAACTCCTACATCTGACCCTCAGGATGAGGTACCTGCCTAATACTTAGACTTAATCAGAAGAGAGAAAGTCCCTGTCCAACATCCACCCCTCTCTACCCCGAAGTCAATGAGCACTGAGGAAGCAGAGACAGCTTGAATACCTGGAAGCAGGGCAAGAACATGGAGAAAGGCCCTCTATGGAACAGCACAAAGAAAAGATCTAAAGCTGAAAATGGAGCAGACATGGGGGGCAAATAAAAACAAAACAAAACAAAAATGTCTCTAACTAACCACTCTAAGCACTGAGTGCCACTATAGAAAATTAGAACCTGTAGAGCTCTGTCATAACCAAACCCAGCTCAACTCTGAATAGATGGACTTATCTCCTCCCACTTCCTCCACCTGGAAGGCTTAGCTGGAGGTCACCACAGGAGGTTTAAGTTAAGGTTTTTCTGGTAATCAGAAAGTTTATAGAAGTAAAGTCTTTTACACTTGACTTTTTAGTATAAGGACTTGATAGTTGAGCTGTGGGGAAATTGCCATTTTTGATAATAAACAAAGCAGGTAATATATTTTTGTTAATGAATATTTAATTTTGATGGAAAATTTTGATTAAGAAGCAGGGGTTATGAATATTAGTGCCAAATTTTTCCTGTTAATACATATTTTCCTCAGTAATCTTCAAATCATTATCGTATTAAATGATGAGTGTCGGTATGTTGATTATTTTGAAAGTTAATATATGAAGGTAAAAAAGAAGTTACAGTGACACAGGGAAGATTTATACATGCAGATCACAGGCAGTTTCTTGGATCATGATGCTTCCAATAGAACTTACCTATGTGTTAGCTTGACTAATGTTTTGGATACACAAATAATCCTCTCAGGATTTGCTGAAATAGATCCTTTCTTATACACAGTATTTGCAGTCACAAAGAATCATATGTAGCAGCCAGCTTACAGCCAGGGGAATTGGGTAGACTATAAGGAATAAGTGTAAAATAGAAATTTTAAAAAAACTTCTTTTTTAGTTTAGACTGGCTACCAGAATATAGTTCATTCTCTTCAATCTATTTTATAATAATTTTATTGTCATAAAATTAATATTTAACAAGTCTTTCCTTGTGACCTATTTCCTGTCTTGAGAAACGCATAGATCAGTGAAGGAAACATACATACACATCACCATCATCATTATCATCATCATCATCATCATTGTCGTTGTTGTAGTTATCATTGTCATCTTAATGTCATGTGGTAAAAGCACTGAGGGAGAAATGCCCAGGGTATGTTGAAAACATAAAAATTGAAAGAATTAATCTAGCCCTGGGTTGAGGTAAAATAGGAGGAGGTTAAGTTGTCTGAGAAGACTTCGTGAATACCTAATGTGAGTTAAACTGAAAAATACATACTCGGTAAAAAAAAAAAAAGAATGAAAAAGTGTATACTCAATTCTCATTCTTCTCAAGTTGATCCAATACAAAGGGAGAGACAGATTTGATATCTCTTTGATTTCTCCTGATGTTTCATAAGAAAAAAAATAATGCCCTCGTTCCTCACTGTCATTCACAAACATAGATTGCAGCCTGGGATAGACAACTGCACTGTTCTTGGGTTTTAAAAGGTAATTTTGAATAGAATACAATGCATCAAATTGTTTCACACTTAGTAAGGGCAAATAGTATATACTGTGAAACTTTTTATTCAGTTAAGTATATGTGTGTATTCTGGGTCCAGATATAAATGCATTTCTTACTAGCTTTTGGTTTATAAAAGTTTAAAAGCAAGTATCCTGGCTTACCTGTTTTAGCTTTTAGACATTAAGCATTAGAACAAACATTTTTGCTACTAGAGGCTATTCTTTGATTCAGCCATTTTCCCCTTGGTAACAAAATTGGAAGATCAGAGATGAATGGATTTGGAGCCAGCTGACTGTAAGGTCTAATTTGCTCTTAGGTTAATTAGGCTTACCATTTTTTTTTTAAATCCCCTGATTCCAATGAAGCTTACTAGAATTCATCAGCTCTTCAAGAGCAATCTCTTGCCTCTTTTGCCATTTCTGCCTTTGTGTACACTTGTTTGGCTACCTCCCAGGTGGAAGAGTAACTAAAATATGGCAAATACCTGGTGTCTGTACATCTTCATCTTGTAATCACCAAATGGGTCAAACTAAGGTCATCAAGGAGACAATATTTTATGTTCTCTGGTTAAGGAATTTCATAGAACTTTTTCTATACATAGGATCATGTTCACACACATATACATATACATATACATATACAATGTATTCTCTTCCCTCCAAATAAAATATTATTTAATATCCCTACCAGAGGAAACAAAAGCACAATAAGTCAATTAATTGTCACTACAAACAAAAAATAATAATGTTAATAGTTATTGTTTATTGGCTACAGCACATATGCTATTCCTATGCTTACTGTAGCCCTGCAATAATGTAATTATTAGTCCTGTTGGAAAGATGAGGAAACCCAGGTTCAAGAAATTTCAGTAACCATACTGATTCAAACATTCATTATCAGTTGCTAAAAGGATTTTAAGTTAGATTTAGCTCACCACAAATGGCATTTTATCTGTCTGTTAATACTCCTACTTTTAATATCAATTTTTCATTTAAGATGGGTGTTAATATCTATGCACATTAATAAATAAAGATGTTCATGGGGTGATATAAATTATTATATTTTTACCACTTTTAGTTTATAGATTAAGGGAGAACAAATAAGTCTAGTCTTCTTTATGTTTGTAGTTAATCAAGAAAAATGCAAAAAACTTGTTTAAAGACTCAAGGAGCTGTAAGATACCTATAACACCGGTTGTTTTGATATGAATTTTAATTTGTGACTCTCATATTTTATTTATCATTACTAAGATTTGCTCCCACCATTTTAAGAATTCCACTGCTTGATTTAGAATTTGTATTTGGGATAACAGCTCCAACAGGCAATCATACCAGTTAACATAGACATGGAAATTAAGTTATATTCCTGTAACTGCAATTGAGATCAGAGAGACCTGATTTTCATACTATCATTATTTTTTTCCTAATCAGTTTCTTCACTGAATGACTGTTTATAAAGATTATTATATTTATAGAAGGGGTATAGTATATGAAAAACAAATTTAAGCACAAATGTTAGCAAATCTATACATTCTAGGAATTTTGATTTGCTTCTTCAAATCTAACTACGAATATTTACTCTTGTAAGAGTAAATACTTGTAAGAGTAAAAACTTGTAAGTTTTTATTTTACTGAACAACTGTGTGAGCACATAAACTTCGTATTTAGGGCTCTTTAGTTCATCATGCTCAGAAATTCTGAGAGGTTCATCAGTGAATTTTATTAGAATCTGCTAAACCAGCTGTCTAGCTAAACTGAATTAGAATCTAAGACTCCCAGTTATTTACTAATATCTTTGTCTTCACCACAAAGTTAAAATCAACTCTCTCACTTCTCCATCTCTATTCTATGGCAGTCACTGAAACTTACACTTATAGCAGTGGTTCTTTTATTTTAGTTCATAAGAATCACACTAAAATTACAGATTCCTTATATACAGGGATTCTAGCTTAGGAAGTCTGATATGAGTCATAAATATGTGTTTTGAAAATTTTCCATATCCTTTGAGATAAAAGATCATGGATTCCTTTTTGAGAAACAGTAATACCTAATCCCTTGTCCCCAAAGAGCACAGTGCAGACCACTGCAGCCAGCCTTGAGACCTAGTTCAAAGTTCAGGCCAGGTCTCCTTGCCGATATTTTGTGGACCCAGCATAGTCACGGATCTCACCATTCTTTACTGACTCCTGGTTGTGCCACTGGGCACAAAATAGATTAAGTTAAAATGAGTGTTTCTCCAATGTGTTCTGCTTTCCAAAAATCAGTTAAAAATAATACAATCTGACAATAATACAACTTTGTCACTTTCTATTGTCATAATTGCTTTTTGCTTAACATTTATTGAAACAAGACGTGGAGCAGGACAAGAAAATCCCCCTCTGTACCTGTCTGGGACCTCTCCCAAATCCCCTTATTTATAGTTCTTTAGGCGTTGAAGAAAAGATTACTTACACCCTTGTTTTTCGGCAATATAAGACAGTTTCACAAATCATGAAAACTATTTATGTCCTTCTGTTCCTGTAGGTAAGCGCTTGCCCTGTCTATCTGACTGAAGGTGACAGCAAATATTTTTTAAATAAACGAAAACAGCTTTTGGGCAATTTCAAATATTTCTATGTAATTTTAAAGCAAAACAATTCTGTATAATTGTGCGCTTTCTCACACACACTTAAAATTATACTCACCAAAGGTCTAAATATTTATGGCAATAGTCTAACTACATTGATATCACTGGAAATCATTGTTAGGACTCAAAATAGGAAGACATACAATGAAAAAGGCCCTAGGAGTTGTGTCCTGTCTTTTCAATATCTTTCAATTAAGCTAGTTCGTTCGTTTCTGATCCTCAGTTTCTTCAAATTTAAAGTGGGTGTTGCCGGAAGTGGCAAACTGCTGTTAATGAAAAATATTGTATTTATTCCTACTTTCTAACAATAATGATACAATTAAGATCAGTGAGAAAAATAAATCTTTATTTAGTTCAATACAACTTACAAATAGAGAGGGGGAGAGAAATTAAAGAGAACAAAATTCCAAAGCCTTTGTCATATCTTCTCTATGATGGACACTTAGACCCAGAGTAGATGGGTATTTGTTTGTCTGAGCATATTAATTAATCACTAGATATCTAAAGAGTAGTTGGAAACAGATGCTTGGATTTTCTTTGTAAGAAGAACAAGAAATTGAGTTCCCAAACTTATATCTTGAGGAAGAGATAAGTGAGAGAGTAAAAGGTGAAAAGGAGAAAATGAAAGAACGACCCAAAATCATTGAAAGAGGAAATTCACAGTGAAGGAAGCAGGGATGGTCAAAGAACTTTAAAATAAAAAACAGAACATCCAATATTTGACTTTAAGTTGATGCTGTGTAATGTTGTTTTATTGCTATTGCCTTCAAAGTTTCAGTAAGTCAGCCAAATACAGCAAACCTTGTCTCTTAGTCTGTTTTGTGCTACTAAAACAAAATATCTGAGACTGGGTCACTAATAAAAACCAAAAATTTATTTCTCAATTTATTTAACAATTCTAGAGGCTGTTAAATTCAAGATCAAGGCACCAGCTTCTGGTCTTGTGAGGGCCTTCTTGTGGCATCATCACTTGACAAGTGGCAGAAGGGCAAGCTAAATGAATGTTGTCTAAAGCTTCAATTATAAGAGTCTTGATCCCATTAACAAGGGAAAACCCCTTATGGTCTAATCATCTCTTAATACTGCAATGTGGGCAAAACCTAAATTTTGGAGAGGATGCATTCAAACCATAACAAGCCTGTATTTCTTCTTCATAGTTATTGCAAAGCAAAGTAATCAATCCTAAGGTGTGAGCTGTAAGAAAATAGAATATTTAGCAGGTATTGGTAATTTGGAAGAGAAATAACTAGGAGACATACAAGCTTTCTGATAATTCTGGGAGATACTAGGATAGAGAGACTGGGTTTCCCTAACATGTCTGAAATGTGAATTTAAGTAATTTTCACTCAAATAAAATTCGATGCATAAATTGAGGAACTAGGGATTTTCAGGCAACTATTAGTTATGGGGATTTCATTATACCCACTCTCTATTTCACAGGGCACATGGCTTGTTATAAGGCTCAAACAAAACATTATGTATAAACTCTTATTGTGCTTTATAAGGTCATAATCAAGTGTGTTCATAAAATCATCTGAATAACATAAAGGCTCATGATTACAGTAAATGTAGAAGAGAGATTTTCAAATATGTTTTATCACAGAACACACTCCAATTAATTAAATAATTTATTGTTATACTATTTTGATGTTTTAATAAATGTCTACTTTAAGCCAGAAAACAATGACAGATAATAAAAGTGAATATTCATAGGAAACAGCTAGTGTGAATGCAGGGGAACCTAATAAATGTTTATTAAAAACCTTCAAAGTCTAAAATAATCTTTAAATACTCTAGAAGTCACATAAATAGCAAAACTAAATTAAATTAATTTTCAGTGACTTTAAAACAAGGCATCAATTTGTTGCTGCTGCCATGACTGACTGAATGTATCTCAGGGTGGGTAGGTGGGTCACGGACCATCACTTGAAGTACAATTCTCTTGACAATTCAGTCATCTTTAAAAATTGATTTCAGTAGTTTCTATATGAACCAGAGACAACTCATAACATATTACTTTGTTAATGCAAACTTCTAGGCTAAGTTATCTATTGATGACACTACAATTAAAAAAATCTTCTAAAATTATAAATAAAATTTAAAGTAGAATGTTGAATATCACAGAAGAGTTAAAGTCAAATGAGAAATGATTTTTCAGTATTTTAATTTGAAACTAAAAGTAGAAGTGAGATATATATGTGAAAAATATCTAACAAGCATAATCAAGATGAAGCTTATATATTTATTAGTTAAAATAATATTTTTTAAATTAAAGAGGTTTATATTACCCTAAAACTGATATGCATTATCTCAGAAAAAAAAACTTGAGCTGAAAATTAAAATTATAAAACTATTCAGTGAAAAGCAAATTATAAGGTAGTACATATTTATACATTTGAACATTTATGTTACTCCTTGGCATGCTATGAATCTGACGTTAGTTTTAATCATTTATTCTTTCAGACTGTAACTAATTTGCTCCATTACCCACACATACAGATGGATGGGTGGATGCATGGATAGATAGGTCCATGTATAGATATATACATACAGTACTCATAACTTGAAAATGAAGATTTTTGTACCACTCTTTCTTGTCAACTCCAACTAATGAGTGATAATAACTATAATACAGCCCCAACTCATTGTCAAGAAAGGCAAAATCTAAAAGCTTAGTATGGTTCCAAAAATATTTTTTAATGTTTTTTCTTTGCCGTTTAAAGCATGTTTTAAGTGTTTAACAATGATTTGAAGGATTACTCTTCATTAAAGGAATACTCCACAAATAAAAAATAAGGCTAAAAAATCAAACTACTGCTGATCTCTCTAATGAAGAGGCTCAAACTCTAAGATTAAGGTACACATAGAAAAGAATGACAGTAGTTCAAGCAAGAGAGCCATAAGGTAGGAGAAACTACCAAGCATCTGTTCTCAGTCAAGCATCCACCCTTTAAGATGCTTCTGATCCAGCTGTAATGGCACTTTCCCCAGCTCGCATTTCATGCTGTATATCCATGAGAGGCAGGAGAGTGCAATGGCTGGGTGTGGCCTCTGGCATGAGCTAACCTGACTTTGAAACCTGACCCCAGCCCAGTGAGTTAAGCAAGACTTTTTCTGTCCTTAAGGTAATGTCTTACTTTTGGCATGCATATATGCAGAACTAGACTTTGAATTATCCATGCTTTACTCATTTTTTATCTTTTGCATTTAGCACAATGTATAAGCTTTTTTATGAGAAAGGAAAGAAAAAGGTGAGAGAGGATATAAATTTCTGTGGGTTCTCAAGAGTTTGTATAAAAATTGGATTATGAGATGGTTCTGGGTAGATTAGCATTAAAGTGATCCTATGGATATTGAGACATTGAGAATCTGTACCTGAAATTTACTATTGATATATTGATGTCCACGGCCAATTAAACATATAGAAGAGGATCTATAGTTCTGATTAGAACACACATTTTGCTTTAGGACTGCAACCAGAAAAAAAATGCCCCACAGAATTATCTTTAGAGATTAACAAAGGTTTAAACTTGCCAATGAAACAAGGTAGGGAAAATTAAAGTTTTCACAGAATAAAACAGAGAAACAAATTTTCTTTCAAGCAATTGTTTAAAAGAATGCACCTGTAGTCCAGTTTAGATTTTTTTCCAAGAAATCATTTAAGATATCTTATGGGAATTATGAGGAAGAAGAGCTTTCTAAGGTTTTGGAAATGTGACAGAATAGATTATCAGGGATGTAATTTCAGGATGGAAAATTGTCAAGTTTATTCAAAAGTGACATATCTCTTATGAGGAAAAAAACATTTTTTAAAATTTTATACTGACTTTTGAAAAAGTTGAAGCAATTTAAAATTAATATGGAACATTATGTATCTCTTGAATATTAAAAAAGCCATATTTATTTTCTTCCTTTCTTTTTTCTTCCCTTTTCATTCATTTATTTATTCATTCTTCAGAAAATGAATAAAGGTTAATGAAAAGTTTATTATGTAGAAGGGTTTTTTATGTAAAAGGCACTTTTCACATCCTGGAGAAATGAAGATTAGAAAGTCAAAACATCTTCAAAAAACACAGTTTAGTCAAATGGGAAAAATAATAACAATGAATTGTATTAATATACAATAATATTACTACAAAGGATGATTATAATAATTGACTCATTCAGGAGTAAATTAGTGAATTAGTCAGAAAAAAGCCATATAGGTAAATGACTCCAATGATACTGGGATTAAAAGAAGAAATTTTACAACTAGAAAGATAAATGTAACCATTTTAGCATAGAGACCAATATATTCTAACAAAAGAGGTAAAGAAAAACCCCACATAATGAACCATAGTGCTTATTCATTCATTTTTAAAAATCTTTATTAGGTTTTTTGTATTAGACACTGAAGATGAACAGCCAAAAAATACGGACTAGCTCTCCTTCACTAGAATATCATGTGGGAAACAGACAAGTAAAATTGAGTAATCACAACACCTAATCATAATTGCTAGGTAGGGGTAATACAGGGCTTTAAGGATGGAGAGCAAAGTACATGTAACTCAATATAGGTAAGATATATTTCACAAGATGTTTTTTATAAAAAGGAACAAGAAAAAAGTCTCTGCCATTGTCACTTAATGTATTAGCTCTATTCCTCTATTCTCTTTTCTCCCCTCTGGGACACAAAGTGTGGTATACTAGACATTTTGATGGTACCCCAGGTTTCTTGAAGCTTTTCCATCTTTTTTCCTCTTTATTTTACATTGCATATTTTTATGGACATGCTTTGACATCACTAATTCTCTGTTTTTGTGTATTCTGTATATTGCTAAACCCATCCAATGAGTTTTTAATTTCAGATATAATATTTTTTAGTTCCAAAATACATTTGATTCTTTCATGCAAATTATAAAGATATGTTAAAATCTTCCAAGTTTTTCATTTTCATTTCGCATCTTTGCCTGTTTTTGTATATTTTAATTATTTTAAGATATTTATCTTTTATCTCTAGTACCTGAATCAATTATGGATATCTTCTATGTTATAGTTTTTCTCTTTCTTTTTGGTCATTTGTTCCTACTTCTTAGAATGTCTCATTTTTGACTGGATGATGAAATTGTGGATGACAAATTTAGAAAATATTAGTATTTATGTTTTTTATAAAGAGAAATTAATTTTATTCTGAATTTCTTCTGAAATCCAGTAACAATTGATCAGCTTGATCCTGCCTTTTTGCTGCTTGTTTTTCAAGTAGGTTTATTTTATAATTTCCCTTACTCCTAAGGTGAAGCACTTATTCCTAGGAAGTTACTTTTAAGGTATACCTCTTGCTCCAAGTTTGTGGCCTTATGGGTTTTTAGCTAAAAACTCATGTGGTTTACCATAATGTCTCCACATTGGTAAAATCTGAAAGTACAACCTTGCTTTCTAACTCTCTAGAGCATCTAAAATCTTTCTTCAGTATCCTCCCAGCTATTGTGTTGTACTAGGTATCTTAAAGTTATGCCTTTATTATTGTATATGCTCAGGAGTCCAAGGCTTGAGTGGTGTTTGCATATAGATTTAAGGGCTCCTTCTGTAGAGTTCTTCCCTTTATGGGTTCGTATTTCTTAAATCACAGCCATTTGATGGAACTAGACTATAATGTCTCCAAGTTCAGGAAGGCTGCTGCTTTTTACATGCACTCTACTTCATACACAATGATTTGGTAATATCCTTGAGGAAAAAGACAAAGTGAATATGGATATTACATCACATCTGCCCTCTGTCAAGGATTATAGGTCACCAAGTCCTGTGTGCATTGATCACTTTCCAACACCTTCCAAATACAGGTTGTTTTGGTTTTTATTTTTGTTTTGTTTCTTTTTTTACACAGGGTTTTGCTCTGTTGCCCAGGCTGGAATGCCAAAATATAGTTTTATTATATTATTATAATAGATTATTGAGTTATCTTTCTGCAGCAGAATTAATCTATTAGCATGTTGGTGGGGAATGGAACAGGATACAGTTTTCTTTGATCTGATTAAAGTTTGCTGTTATGCAGGCATTGTGATCCTGGATTTAGCAGGCATGGATTTCACCATGTTTCTATCCCCACTCCAGTCATAATACTGGGGCTAGCCTGTATTCCTAGCCTTCCTCGGGGGAGGAGATTGTTTTTATTTTCCGTCCCCATCTCCCAGCTGAACTGTGTTTTTAACCAATGTCCTTAGATTATAGTGTTGGTCTCCATCCCCTGCAGATTAAGGTTTCTTTGACTTTACTTTGGAGAGACATAGGTCTGGGAGAGTTTAGGTGCTGGCTTCTGTTCCCTACAATAATTGCAGTGGGATTCTGCCAGTATGCATCGGCTACAGGTTTTGATGGCTTTCTCTCTGGAGTCTTTTGTTTCATTTTGGAGGCAGAAGTGAGTTGAAATATTTCAGCAGTGACTGCTATTCCCTTCCCCAAGTAAGTCATAAAGAGAATGTTCTCTAGATTGTCTTTGCTCCACTCTGCGTGATTCTGGTGAGGTTACTGAAAAAAAAAAAAAAGCCTGCAAGAGGAAGAACTCCTGTATGTCTGTATCCTCCAGAGTCTTCATACTCTCACTCCAGCCCATATTTGTCCTTTAGTGACTCATTAAAAATTTCTAGCTTTATCTTCCTCCTGGCTTATTTAGATTCAGATGGCTCAGAATTGACTCAGATATTCAAATGTTCACTTTTTTCCTTCGCTGCAGTTACATTTCCAGATTTTTGTTGCTTGTTTGCATTGCAATCTTAGTTCTCTGATAAATTCAAGAAAAGTTGCTAATTTGAAATTTGTCTAGCTTTCTAGTTGTTCTGAGGCTCTTTTCACATCTCTACATCTCTGAGCTGAAAACCAGAATTCAGAATATATGATTTTTAAAATTCCGTTTTAAATTGAATTGAAAGGATGGTAGCAGAATTTCTTACTCCTCCAAAATATATTAAGAAACAATATATAGAAAATAAGTTTTAAACATACTTACTTGCTAGGAAAATGATGAATTATATTTACTTATATGCCAAGACCAGCTCAGTTTGGGAGACTCTAACCCAGTGGCGCTAGAGGAATTAAAGACACATACACAGAAATATAGAGGTGTGAAGTGGGAAATCAGGGGTCTCACAGCCTTCAGAGCTGAGAGCCCCAAACAGAGATTTACCCACATATTTATTAACAGCAAGCCAGTCATTAGCATTGTTTCTATAGATATTAAATTAGCTAAAAGTATCCCTTATGGGAAACGAAGGGATGGGCCGAATTAAAGGAATAGGTTGGGCTAGTTAACTGCAGCAGGAGCATGTCCTTAAGGCACAGATCACTCATGCTATTGTTTCTGGCTTAAGAATACCTTTAAGCAGTTTTCCGCCCTGGGTGGGCCAGGTGTTCCTTGCCCTCATTCCGGTAAATCCACAACCTTCCAGCAAGGGCTTTATGGCCATCAGGAACATGTCACAGTGCTGCAGAGATTTTGTTTATGGCCAGTTTTGGGGCCAGCTTATGGCCAGATTTTGGGGGGCTTATTCCCAACATTTATACACTTATGAGATTGGAAACTACCTTAACATTTCAATCCATTTTTCTTCTTTAGCATACTGACCAAAATAGGCAATATAGATTTTTAGCTAACCTTAACATTATTCACTGTAACAATCTATCCATCCTCCATGATCTCAGTTTATTTTGAAAATTGCGATACAACCTGCAGTATCATTAATGCCCTGGTGTTAGAGATGTGGAAACCTAAGGATTGAAAGTACCTTAGAGATAAAGTCAGGAGTTCTCAACCAGGACATAAATCATCTGCAAAATTGCATGTAGAAAACACTGAGATATTTTGAGGAATGGCTCAATGTATTTTATTAAATTCACAAAAATATCATGGCCCTAAGATTGTTAAATGACACTGATGCAACTATGTATTATAGAAATGCATCTATTTAAATTCCATATTTCTGGAGAGATTAATCTTGTGTCCACAGTCTTAATTCCTATAACAATATTTAGAACTACATTTAAATGTCATTTCAAAAGTATCTGAAGGAAATAAAAGAGGAAGGAACAAAATTTTCTGTACATGAATCATGTGTTAATACCAAAATCCTCAACGTCTATCTTCAAAGAAAAAAATTTATGTCTAATTCTTCATGCTCGTGACTGTTGCTTTGATTTGCCTTATTGATGAATTTTAACACTAGGATACTACAATATCACCATTTATAGTATTGATAAATATATTAAGTACATAAGAAAAATAACTTTCCACAGTCAAACTTATGTAACTGTGAGTACCTAATGCTTGCTCATCTTTAAACTTTATTACTGTAATACATAGCTTTATTATGATGAATATTTGGAAAGCTGTCACAAATGGCTATTTTAAGAGCATTTTTATTCATAAAAGAATAATGTTTAACAATATTAAATTAATAAATACTTGAAGCATTTGGTGAATAATGTTAGCTAGATGATTTTTTAAGAATAAAAAATGAGCTAAGCACATACATAAGAGTAGAAATATATTGAAGATTACAGAGTGCTAAAATGAATCCATACATTTAAGCCATCAAAAATGTTGAGAATATACAAACTTCAAAGAGCTTAATTTTTATTAACTCATACAATTAGAATAAATATACCATTGTAAAATATAAGGAAGCTTCAACTGGATATAAGCAATAAGCAAAAAAGTGTTGTTTTTTTTTTACATTATCCTGCCTTAGTTTCTTCATTTCAATGCGTCCATTTAAGTTGTGTATAATATTGAGTTACAGAACTATTGTATTCCCAGTGCCAAGCTCAGGACACAGCATGAAATTGGTGCTTAATCCATACTTGGTAAATAATTGGATGAATGAATCATAGTTTTACAGTTTGACTATCATTTGTTCTATAGAATTCCTTCTGAAACTATTTGTCTGGCTTCTCTGTAAAAATTACAACTAAAATTTCTTCTACCTCATTTCTCATTAAATTTCTTTCAGAAAAAAGTAATCAATTAATTCAATATAAGATATCAATGGTTAAGTTGATTTTAATATGCTAAATTTTTCAGAAAGCAGAGTCCATATTGCATTTATTGTTTTATTCTTAAAGAAACTGTGGCTCAGAGCTGAGAAATGTGATGTGGGGTAGAAGGTTGATTTCCTAGTTCTGTGGACTATAATATATGAAATACTTGTTGCATCGTAATCCTCAAATATTGTTTGTCTATATTTCAACTTTTTGTCAAAGTTGTGATTTTACAATTTATTTGAGAATTGCTTACTTTTTAATGTTTTTGTTTTTCTTTAGTTTTCAACAAATTTAATTTCAAAAAATAAATTTCCATTAATGTGGACTTAAGATATTGTATATTGTATAATCAAAATTTATTTTTAAACTTAGAACTGACTGTTGATTACATAGGTATTGTGTGTTCTCTAAAATAATCAAATATTTTGATAGTTTTTTAAATTCATGAAGCCTAAATAATGCTTATTTTTGAGAGCATGATTTGTTTTACTTATGTAATTTTTTAAATGTCCTGAATGATATCCTATAATAAACTAATTAAGCATTAGCTCATGGCTTTTGCTTTGCTGTTTTGATGTCATTTTAATCAAAGATGGTAGTATCCACTTAAGGCACTCTAGGAAAAAAGAAACTGACAACGAAAACTCTTCAGAAAATTTTGAATTCAACTATTTCTTAATGATTTAAAATATTCAAATCTATTCCACTTACCAACATTTCCAAGTTTTAAACTTCCATTTCTACAACAGAAAAATCATACAACAGAATAAATAATTATCTAATTTATAATAGCACTCAGGAAACAAACTATGCAAATAAATATATTAAGAGAAAACAAGCTTCAGATAAATTATAATCTCCTGGAAGGTGTCATTTAATTTTTCTCAAATCTCTGTGTACGGGCACAGAACAGGTCATTAATAAATCATTATGTGGCACTTAAGGAGATTATCATAACCACCGACATTAATAAACATGGATGAGATAAATCAGATAGTCAGGAGAAAGGTTAAATGTCTTTGAAATACAAAATACATTTATCAAAATAGCTCTGCAAATGTTCTCCCATTTCTCCTCCAAAAAAACAGTAAACTATCAAATTAAAATGAATTCCTCATAGACTGGCATTCCACACACTGCTCTTTCTAGATTACGTGAAGCTAATTGTGTACATTCAGCTTTGGAGGAAACAGGTACATATTTATTAATGGGAAAAGTCTATGCACACATGCACACCCATACACACACAGAGGCACACACATTCACTTACTCTCTTAATAGCATGCACATGTGTTCCAGGAATTGGCTTACGCATTCATCATGTATCCACTCATTTCAGTGCATACTAAAAATCTGTAAGTTAAGGGACTGAGACACAAGAAGGTAATTAAACCTAGGTCAAACAACCAAAAATAAATAAACAAACAAAAAACATTTGAACACATCTAATCTAGCTCTGCAGACTGTGCTCTAAATTATTATTATGCTGCATTAGAAACAAAACGAAACCCCATGAGGGATCTTTTTTGTCCCCTTCTTCCACCAGAGTGTTTTAACATTGTATAGGAAACATTGAGTAAACTAGTTGTGAACTGGGAGTTACTAATTAAATGAATAACGATTCATTACATCAAAATGTTTTACATAAATAGTAACTTCCTTCAATGCCTAAATGAATACACTTGTAGTTTGGGTTTTGTGTTAATCAGAGAACTCTTACTCTTTTGTTTTTTATTCAATTCATTTCCTAGTTGCACACTGGCCTTACTTAGTCTGGTAAAGAGAAACTTTAAATCCCTTTTTTAAGGAAACATGAAGAAACATTATCAAATAGAATTGTTCAACTTTTTCAATGTTTTGGATAAGCTTTTAAAAAGTTTTTTTGTGCTGGTGCATAATTGCTATTAATTTTCCAATAAAAGACATGACTACTTCGCTCTCCAGCCTACCTTCTGCTGTGAATATTTTAAACTGTAATAGTACTAGTATTAGTAAAAACAATAATGATAATAGTAATTTGATAACACAAAGGTTGATAAAGTGTCAACAAGTATAGCAGATGGTAGTGGTGTTCAATAAATACCTCTGTCCTTATCATTTTAGTATACTCAGTCCAAATTACTCCACTAGGAATTATATTCCTTATCTGAGTGCTTTCTCCAGCTACTGAAATATACCTTCACCCTCCTGTTTTCCAGGCCACAAGTGTTGGGGAATCAGGGCTACCTAAGACCATTCCTTACTCAATAACTGATACGAACTGGTGTACAAAACCTAATTCTCTCAATCCACAGATGCAAATTGAAATGTGTGATTATAATAGTATATATAATTATATTGCATATATAATTATAACTGAGACCTTCCTGTATCTCATTTCCTTCATATGAATTTCAGTCCACAAATTTGAAATATATGTTCCATGCTAGAACCTGGGTTTCCTGTGGCTCATGGTAACAATTACCTCAATATTAAGCCCTCATTGCTCCCTTTTCTGTCTTTTTATTTAATGTCCTTACTCACTTATCCTTTATCCTTAAGCTCCCAAATTAATTGCTTAAACTTGAATCCCGATCTCCACTCCTGCTTCTAAGGGAACCCATATTGTCATCTTTAGGTTAGTCTAGAAAACTTCACAAACATTCAGCTAGACTTGAATTCTATTATTTAATACAATTACAAATGTATGGGATAGTTAAAAGAATAGTGCAAATAAATCCCATATACTGTTTGACTAGATCAGGAGTTAACAAGCTGTCCCATTTGTTTTATCATTTGTTTTGCATTCTTGCTGTTTCTATCTTTCTCTCTTGTTATCTCCCCATTTTCTTACTGGACCACTTGAGAATAAGTTGTAGACATTTTGTTCTCTTATTCCAAATATTTCAATGCATATTTTTTTAGAACCAAGAGGTTTTCTTTAGTGACTGTGGTACATTGATCAAAATCAAGGAATTATACTTGATACCATGCTCTTATCTGATTGAGGTAGATGTTCAAATCTCATCAATTACCCAATAATGTCTACAACAATTATATTTTCCTAGTTCACAATCCAATCTAGGATCCCACATTGCATTTAGATGTCCTATTGCTCCAGTGTTCTTCCATCTGGCACATTTTTTCACCCTGTCTGTGTGTTCCCTGACCTTTAAATTTTGAAGAATATAAGCCAGTTATTTTATCAAGTCTTCCAAATTGGATTGGTTTCACGTTTTCTCATTAGATTCAGAATTTGCACTATTGGTAGGAATATTATACCTCTAACAAGCTTAAATTCTAAGGTCCATCATTATCATTACTGCCTTACTTATGTACTCAAGTTCTTTGATCCCCTTCTCTTCTACTTCATTCTCCTGGAAAAATGCCAAGCCTAATTAAAATTACCTTTCTGTTTACTCCATGCCTTCCCTTGTGTAATTGAATGTGGCTGGGAAATAACATAATCTCAAAAAGTATGCTACCTAGTACTTTTTAATCTCATGATTCACATATACATTTGTATATGTTTCATTATACTATACTATTTGTATATATGAAGGCAAAAAAAATGATTTTATACACCTACACTGACCAATACAATAGCTAGTAGTCATATGTAGATACTGATGACTTAAAATGTTGTTACAAGGATGGAAGAAATAAATTTTATCAAATTTTAAGTATTAAATTAGAATTTTAAAACTGATTCTCAATTCAGTTATTTGAAATTTTAAGTATGGTCAGAACAACTCAAGTATATGAATCTATTCTTCAACTGTACGTTTTATTAAATGCAAACACAAATCAGGTATTTCTGATGAAATTTTAATATTTGGAAGACTTAGTATGAAAACAAAAGATGTAAAATTTCTCATTTATGTTTTCTATCCTGATGACATGTTGAAATTATATTTTTGATATATTGGGTTAAAAAACATAATAGTGATTTCACCTTTTTTACTTATTGGTTGATGATTTCAGAAAATTTAAAATTACCTCAGTGGCTCACATTAAATTTATATTGAATATGACTGCTATCTTCCACCATACTCTCAGTGTACAGGAAGTATTGGTAAAAACCTGTGATGGAAGTATATACAAGATGCTAAGGGCAGGCCAGAAGAGGAATTAACTCAGAGTAATGGTGAGGTAATTACATCTTAGTTCAAGCTGCTATAACAAAATACCATAGACTGGGTGACTTACACAACAAAGTTCAAGATCAAGGTGCCCTGCAAATTTGCTATCTGATGAGGAACCACGTCCTGGTTTGCAAGTGACTGGATGTCTTGGTTGGTTGTATCCTCACATGACAAAAGGAAAGTTAGAGAGCTCTCCAAGGTCTTTTACAAGGGCACTAATCCCACTCATGAGGGTACTATTCTCTTGATCTAATTATCTCCCCCAATCCCACTTCCTAATACCATCATGCTGGGGGTTAGAACTTTAACACAGGCTTCAGTTACCACCACCTCTTCTCTACAGGATTTTGGCAATTGTATTTTAACTTATCTCCATACTTTTTCTCTGAGGTATTTCTCCCACCACCACTACTGCTAACACACACACACACACACACACACACGTTCTATTGTCAACAGGAAAGCTAATGGTGCCCTTCAAAAAGGTAATACAGATTATTTTATTCTATAGTTCAAAACCCTCCAGTGGCTTCCAGTGGCTTTCAGAATAAAAGTTAAAGTCCTTATAATGACGTACAAGATCATACAAAACCTAACCACCTGGCAAGTTTCCTGAACATATCCTAAAACTCTCCCTCACCAGCACTCCCAATTTAAAGCCTTGGTCCTTGCTCCTCCCTCTATGTGCATTGCTCTTCTCACAGACATCTGCTTTTCTCAGGCCTCACTTCCTTCCAGTTTCTAACAAAATACGCACCTTATTAAAAAGGCCTTTCTTGAACACCCTATTTAAAATAACAACTCTTGCTTTCTCTATTACTTTCCATGCCCTGCTATATGTTGTCAATATCTGAAATACTGTGTATTCACTTCATATTTTATTTTATATAGCTTCTCACTCTCACTACTATGCAAGGTTTACAAGGACATATTTTTTTGTCTTTTTTTATTCACTGCTGTATCCACTACCTAATAGAAGAGGACCTAGCACATAGTGGGTATAAAAATAAATGTTTGAATTAATAATAAAAAAAGTGAAGGAAATATATAGGACAGATATCACGGTTAAATGCTTACGGTATGGCAGAACAGTGAACTAAATAGTAATGTCAGCATTTTTTCAAGTCTGTGAGACTGAAGATATAGTATTTCTGTAATTTATTAATATAAATGCATATTTGCTTTTAAAAGATCCTTTGAGGCTCAGATTTTTCTGTTTACAAAGTTCTAAAAATTAGCTAAATTTTTATTTTGATGGTATACTTAAGGTGAAAGAATTAAGGGTCAAAAGTGAATGAAATCAAATGAGCTTTAATTTTGAAATGAAAACAAATGAAAGAGACTAAAAGGTAAAAATAGTTTTAAAACTGATTAGTAAATTAAGACCAATGTTCAGATATAAATATAAATGTTTTCTAAGCTTAAAAATATTTGTAATATCTTAAACTTTCTGTGTTTGCAAACATTTTTCCCCAAATCTATAGTTAACTTTATGAACGGAAGGCACAATATATTCAAGATTTTTTTTTTACGTTGAAATTTATGCCTAGCATTGAAGAAACAAAGAAATAAAGTAGACATAAGGAGATAGTAACGATAGGAAAAGGAGACCCAGAAAAAGAAAGCCCAATATCGTGACTTAACTTTAACGTTGTATTCAAATATACAGGCACACTTAACATAAGTGTACAGCTTAATGAATACTTACATACTGAACATTCCCATATAACCAACACTCATATATGGGGTCTCACTACGTTGACCAGGCTGGTCTTTAACTCCTGGCCCCCAGCTATCCTCCCACCTCGGCCTCCCAAAGTGCTAGGCTTGCAGCCATGAATCACCATGCCCAGCCAACAGTCAATTTTCTTTTTTTTTTTTTTTTTTTTTTTTTGAGGTGGAGTCTCGCTCTGTCACCCAGGCTGGAGGGCAGTGGTGCAATCTTGGCTCATTGCAAGCTCCACCTCCCGGGTTCACGCCATTCTCCTGCCTCAGCCTCCTGAGTAGCTGGGACTACAGGAGCCCGCCATGGCGCTTGGCTAATTTTTTGCGTTTTTAGTAGAGACGGGATTTCACCGTGGTCTCGATCTCCTGACCTCGTGATCCGCCTGCTTCGGCCTCCCAAAGTGCTGGGATTACAGGCGTGAGCCACCACGCCCGGCCAACAGTCATGTTTTTTAAAAGAACATTTATAGCACCCAGAATCCTCTTTTTGTGTTCCCTGCTAGTCCCTTTCCCCACCTCAAATGATAATCATTGTCTTGACTTGTAATATCATAGTTATGCCTATTTCTTATATTTCACAGAAATAGGTTTAGTAGATATTTTAAAAGTCTGGCTTATTTCATTCAATATTTTATTTTTGACATTCCACATAATGTTGCTGTATAGTATTCTGTCCTTTGTATATGCTACAATATATTTATCTACTCAACCACTGAAATATATTTGGATAGTTTCCAATTTGGGGCTATCTCAAATTGGGATGCTATAAGCATTGTAGTGTGTATGTGTGTGTGTGTGTGTGTGTGTGTGTGTGTCTGTGTGTGTAATACATATATTTCTGTTAGGCATATTCCAAGGTTGCGTATTTGATAAGACACATTTAATAAGTCCTATCAGTATTAGATAGTGAGATCATATAATCTATATAAGAATTAATGTGAATGATTTAGAAGGATATCTGGCATATATTTAATGAATGTTAGCTGCTATTGTTATTTTTTTGTCAAATTACCAAGATAAATGTCATCTAGCACTATAGCTAAGAGGTTAAATATTTGAACTCTACTCATGGATAGACCCAGATCAGAATTTTTATGGTCTCATTTTCTAGCAGAGTGATGTTCAGGCACATTACTTGAGAATTTAATTCTTATTTTCTTCAGTGTAAAATATACACCACCATAGGCTTTTGTGTTTAAGAAGAAATTGCATATAAAGGCTTATTACAGTGTCAAGCACATAAAGCTCAAAAATCATTAGTAGCTATTTATACTATGTAATTAATACAGCTGCTAATATATCCTCTTTTACTCACACTATGTCTTGTAATGTACCATGTGAATTTAATCAGAGGTAGTGCTTAATATCTTAGCAGTTTCCCTGGAAACAGAGAGGGTTGCCCAACAAATCAACCAATCACCTAGAACCTTCATGTTCTGATTTCCTTTTAGCTTGGAACTTTGTCAGATATGGTACTGGATCTTTCTGAACTTCTGAATCAGATGATAATGTCCAGTTAACGAAGAGTTAATATAAAATGGAGAGATTCAACAAGGATTTTATTTCTTTGACTTCAAAATGTATGAAAGACAAGGCTGCTTATCATGCTAAAATTAATACTGAGTGTGTCTGAAAGTAGAGACCCTAAAAACTCAGTGTTACCAAGAAGTACATCCCGGGGCTTACAAGCTAATTAAAATTCTGCCTAAACTTATATTTCAAATTACTATATTTAAACTAAATTCATTTGAAATGAAGAGGCATAATTCTTTGTTTAACTAAAGCTCACTGTTGCATTTTCTCAAAGGAAAAGCTATAATGTGATGTCCTTTAAAGCAAATCCCTAGGGTTTTATTAACGTAGTAAAAATACCAATATATGTGACAGTGGATTTTCTAAGGGAAATAGTTTTTTTTCTCTTATACACTAATAAAAAAGAGATATACATATTTCTTGAAGGAGTTTGTGTGAAAAATAAAAAGAATCATAACTCCTAGAGTATATCTTATTTATACAGCTGTTAAATCTTTCCACCAGCTTTCTCTCTGACAGAAATGCAGCTATGCCTCAATAAGGCTGATTTTTACTTAAGCAACCTGTGTCTCTCAGCCTGTGAAAAATGAGCTAATAGCAATATAGTCATATGAAGGCATCAGAGCTTTATTTCTAAAATCTGCTACTGATGATGCGTTATTTGTGGTAATCATATCCACAGAGGTTAAGAAGCAGGTATTGCAATATATTTAGGCACAATATACTGTGCTAATAATGGTTTTCAAAAGCACACAGGATATTTTAAAAAGTCATATTCAAGCTAGTATTTCAAGAACTGATTTCTAGATCCTTGACTATTAGTTTGATTTTAATTGATTTAAACCTATTAATAAACTTAACTCCAGAATGAAGGAGTACTTCAATGTTTTAGGAGATATACAATATATATGCCATGCCCTTTTCTTAATGAATCCCATGAGAATGGATCTATATTAAAAGTATAGCACATGTTTATTAATTGTGGTTTTTCCGATGTTAATTTTAAAAATCTATAGTACATATTTCCATTGGATGGCAATAATACCAGAAAACAACAATGTTTCTTTGGTTAATAATAAAACCTACAAACTTTAAAAAAATCAAAATCACTCTATTACTACAAAATATAGCATTACAAATAAAATGTCCCCTATTTTATTAAAAACAATAAGGTTTACCATTAAATTCAATACAAAGATTTGGAAGTTGAATTCCTGTAAGAAATATTCATTTTGCCTGAGGGTCTTTCTATTACATGATTCTTCCCTGACGTGCTTGTGACTCATTTGCTACTTTTCAGCAGAGTTGAGAAGTGATCATATATAATGTCAAATATCTTATTTCTATGGCTCAGAGCCTCTTTCTTAGGAAACACTGGTTTATTACCTTTTTATCCCAATTCACAAGTGTTATCTCCCAGGTAGCTGAATAGCACCTTACTGAACTTCAGTAAAAGCAAGCACAGAAAGCCCTTCCTCTCTACTTCCCTCCCTTCCTTTCCCCCTTCATTCCTTTCCCTCCCTCCCTGCCTCCCTCCCTCCCTCCCTTCCTCCCTCCCTCCCTTCCTTCCTCCCTCCCTTCCTTTTTTCCTCCCTCCCTCCCTTCCTCCCTTCCTTCCTTCTGTCCTTCCATCCTTCCTTCCTTCCCATAGGATTTAAGTGTTTCTTGCAGGCATGTCAAACGTAGGCTTGATCCCTCTTCTAGCTAATGTGCAATTAAAAAAAAAAAAAAGTAGATACTTGCATCCTGATCCTTCAAGCAGAAAAGATGAGACAAGTCATCCAAATCTGGATCAGTGTAATTTGAAATAACAGGTTTAATATTTTAATATAAATTTCTATTTGGAAAAAAATACATGGGGCTTTCATAGTACAAATAGCATGAAAGTAAAACACCAATAAAATCATCTTGACTATTGAGGACAAAAAGAATTTAATAACTTGTGATGCTTTAGGTAGAGAAAATGTTTCCTAAGTCTGCAAAACACTGAAATACATTATTATTAGTTTGAGATTTTCCTTTTCTTTTTCTAAAGTCCTCCCCTCCAGCTTGCTATTCACCCATCAGTGTTCTGCTCACCATTGCAGGATGTTTCTTGTTCCAAGCCTTGTGTGTGTGTGTGTGTGTGTGTGTGTGTGTGTGTGTGTGTGTGTGTGTTTTCCGTATCCAATGACTCAGCAGATCATCAGGACGCTCCTGCACCAATATCACATGAAAGGAAAGCTGCCAGGAGAAGAACTTGAGGTTAGCTTTCCTCATCTAAGATAAATCATCACATGCAAAGGCTAATTAAGACTAAAGTATATTTGGAATTATAGCTATGAAAATTGGTTTTTCATTCCACAGTGATAAAATGGAACTACTTCACGGGAGAGATTACTCTAGTTTATCATGGCCTGATATTGTATATACTTAATTCTGCTCTGAAAGTGTGTTCCTTCATGTGGGCATCATCTTAATTTTTCAAACCCGTACATAATCTGATACCATAATTTGAAGACATTTTCACATACATAGCTTCTACATTTTTCCATATTCAACTTCCCTGCTCATTATATATATAGAATAGAAAACAAAATCAATGTTTATCATTTGTACTTAAAGATAAACAATATGTGTATTAACTCGAGAGTGAATATTTAAATATGCTAAGTGAATTTTAAAAATATAAAATAAAAATTTACATTATAGAAATTTATTCTCATACTATCCAGAAAGATTATTACCCTTTAATAAAGGCTATTTAAGATTCATATAAAATATATTGGTCTTCTATTAGGAATGCATTTTATGCATGGTGAAAATATTCATCATATGTGTTATGTTGTATGAATGAAATTTTTAGAAGTAATGCAATGCATTAGACTCTCTAGAAATGTAACATCAAAAGTGGATTCAGGAAAGCAAAGAGTATTCATCAAATAATGCTCTAGTCATTTTCTCTTCTAATCAAGAAGTAATTCAGGAGGTTAGAGAGCAGATTAACTGCTTATCTGTCTTTTCTTGAGCTAAGTTGTATGGAAATGTTCACATTTAGGAACAACAGGTGTTCCCTGGATATCCTGGCAAAGACATAAATTTGTTTTTAACTGCAGTTTAGAATATTCATTCCATTTCTAAAATTTTAATTATGTACCTTTTAAGAATCATGTATTTAGAATTAAAGTAATGGTTCTAAGGTTAAAGGAGATGATTTAGTACCACACCTAGCTGTTAATTTTGGGCTCATTTGAAGGTCTGTTTAGTTGAAGGCCATCTATCTATCTTACACACTCTCTATGCTGTCCCTGCTACCACAGGTGTGACTGCAGTTTCCCTTTATTGTAGTCTGCATTTTGTTGTTGCTGTCATGAGACATTAAAAACTTGAGGATTCTTAAGAATTATTTTTTGATAGTTGCTTCCTTCAGAATTTCTTCTTTATTTACTTAATTCACTTTTTTTTTTTTTTTCTGAGATGGAGTCTCGCTCTGTCGCCCAGGCTAGAGTGTAGTGGCACGATCTTGGCTCGCCTCAAACTCTGCCTCTTGGCTTCAAATGATTCTCCTGCCTCAGCCTCCTGAGTAGCTGGGATTACAGGCGTTCCCCACCACACCTGGCTAATTTTTGTATTTTTAGTAGAGACAAGATTTCATCGTGTTGGTCAGGCTGGTCTCATACTCCTGACCTCGTGATCCGCCCACCTTGGTGCACTTAATTCACTTTCATTGGTCTCCTAGCATTTCCATGAGCAAGGAGAAGATCATAGATGCCATTGAAACTGCAATAACAAGTACTGATTTGTAACTTAAAACATTTCAGAAGTGAAATGAAGTTCTGGAATTTTATGAGATTTTTAAACATCAGAATTATCTACATTAATATTTAGGTTTATCTAATAGCCACACACTTAAAGACTTACAAAAAAAACCCCCAAGTTTTTAAATACTATTGTATTTAAGTGAAACTAAAACAGAAATAAAAATAGAACATTCAAGAAAAAAGCATAAATAAATAAATTCCTATGAGGTAATAGTCGAATCCATGAAACATGAGAGAATTTTAATAAAATAGGCTATTTTGAAGAAATACATAAAAGGAATATATTTTGAAAATGAATTACTTCTATTGTATTAGTCTGTTCTCATGATGCTAGGAAGAAAAACCCAAGAGTGGGTAATTTATAAAGAAAAGAGATTTAATTGACTCATGTTCCACATGGCTAGGAAGGCCTCAGGAAACTTACAATCATGGCAGAAGGCCCAGGGCAGCAGGAAAGAGAATGAGTGCCAGCAGCGGAAATGCCAGATGCTTATAAAACCATCAGATCTCGTGAAAACTCACTCACTATTATGAGAACAGCATGGGGGAAACCACCCCCATAATCCAGTTACTTCCACCTGGTCCCTCCATTGACACATGGGGATTATTATGATTCAACGTGAGATTTGGGTGGGGACACAGAGCCAAACCATATCACCTATGGATACATGATGAGGTTCAAAAACATTTTAATCACAGATACATAAAAGTTATTTTAATGCTTCCTTGATCAGGAAGACTATGATGTGATCTTCAATAAGTAAAAGTAAAGTCCACGAACTATGTCTGTATATAAGTTATTATGGTTTTTGAAAGAGTTTTAATAAAAGAGAAGTATGCAGTTACAGTGCCTCCTAGCTCTTCACATTCTTTAAAAGCATGTAAATTTAGAATAAAAGGAACAATCTGTTTCAGGCTGTGACTAAAAACACAAGGAAACACAAACTCTGAATATAAATTCAACAAGAGTAGACAGATAGTGGAGCTCATATTAGAGCTCCCAAAACAAAAATCATAATCCATCTGTCCTGTGCTTATAGAATCAAAAATTTAGAGAGTAGATCGTGGAGCTTATCTGTTACAAGTAACATCTATTCACATATAGAAATGACATCACAGGGCCGGGCGCGGTGGCTCATGCCTGTAATCCCAGCACTTTGAGAGGACAAGGCGGGTGGATCACAAGGTCAAGAGATCGAGACCATCCTGGCTAACACGGTGAAACCCCGTCTCTACTAAAAAATACAACAAAAAATTAGCCAGGTGTGGTGGCGGGCGCCTGTAGTCCCAGCTACTTGGGAAGTGGAGGCAGGAGAATGGTGTGAACCCAGGAGGCGGCGCTTGCAGTGAGCCGAGATCGCGCCACTGCACTCCAGCCTGGGCGACAGAGCGAGACTTCGTCTCAAAAAATAAATAAATAAATAAATAAATAGGACATCACAGAAAAAGAAATGAAACAATATGCACTAATATGCACTTACCTTAGACATATGTTAAGTATATATACAACAAAGTGTAGTGGCAGGGCTAGGAACAAACCATGACTAAAACCTGAATCTCCTGATTTCTTACTAAGTTCTTATTTCCATGCTACCATGCAGTTATCACTAAAAACAACTTAGTAGTACATCAAATCTGTAGAAGATTAAAGCATATATAATAAGATTCTTAGTTCAGTATAATGGCCATAATATTTTTTATTTCATAAATATATTTATACCCTCCCTATCAGTCATTTTGGTCTATAATATCCCAACCACTGAGTTGATAAAGAGGATTATTTTCTTTGTAATTTAAAGTCGATTTGTCTTCAAAGGCATAATCTCAAAATCCAAGCTTTATTTTTTTATTTTTAAAAAAGGAGTTTTCTAAATTTCCCAAATTCCCATTTTAATATAAAGAAAGATATGATATTGTTAAACTTACATTTTATAAATATCAGCAGGGTTATAGATTTAGCGAAACTGACAGCCAGCATAAGGACTATTCTCTTTGCAATAATGTGGATGAAGACCAGGATAGGGATGAGGATGTAGATTCGAATGGAAGCCAGAAATAGAGTACGAAAGTGAGACAAGATATAAATTTGAGTCTTCTCAGTTTCCCCTTGATATCAAAACATTTAAAGGGTAGACTGAGGTTCAGAAAACAGCCAGAGCAGAAAAGATTTCCCACCATTATAATGACTTCCCTGAAAAAAAATTGAGAGATCCTAAGAGAGTTCTCTGGAATAACTGGTATCAGAAGAGTATGATGCTGCTCAGAAAGAACATTTAGGAATGGTTGGAGATTGTGAACAAACTCATTATTTGGAAAAAAAAAAATGGGCAAATAAAGGGGAAGATTGAAGCATTTATCATGTGTTTTCTATACAAGCAATACTAATGAGTATTAAAATAGTAGATCGGGAAAGTTTCTTTTGTAGAACCAGAAAAGAATGACAAAATTAGAATAACATCACTGTGAAACTGCTAATGAATCTAGACAGAGAGCCTCTGTCTATTCATATTCTATGAGACTTCCTCAAGTCTCATTAACAAAGTCCAAAAGCAAGCCTAACAAGATTGTTAGAGGACACAGGATTTGGATACTGAGTTAGGGGCCTAGGAAATGCTTTGAGCTTTCCTAGATTTACACTTAATACAGCATTGCCTGAGCCAAGACAAGTTTGACCAGTAATTTGAAAAGTTCAAGGTGGTCAACCAGTGTTAAAATTGAAAACTCTTTGAAGGAAGAAAAACCCCTAGCCTGCACAAGGCATTGTTCATGTGTCTGGTATTTAATACAAAATCACCATATTAATGATTTTTGTTTTAAAAAATCCATAACAAAGAATGGGAAAACAGAAAAAGCAAACTACAGATGAAAGAGATGCTGAACCTAAAATATGAAGACTTTAAGGTAGTTATAATAATTACTTTTAAATAAGTTAAATATGATGGTAATATGAAGGCAGGAATGAAATAACAACAGAGATAAAAGAATAAATGAGAACTCTAAAACTGAAAGGTAGATTAATGAAAATGAAAATAGGCACTGAATGGATTTAGCAGCAAAAAGGAGATAGTAAAAAAAGGTATTTACCAAATAACTTAGAAAATAATATTCCAGTCTGAAAAAGATAGAAGGGGAAATATTAATTAAAAATAAACAGAGTCTCAGAGGCCAGTATCACAACATCATACAATCCAACATATATGTAACTGAAGTATCAGTAAGAGAAGAAAGTACAATGTTAGCAGAAAAAATATTTAAAGAAATTATGGTCAAAAATTTCTAATTTTGATGAAAAATACTAACTTAAAGATCTGAGAATATCATGCATGTGGAGATTTGTGTGCATGTGGGTCTGTAATCGTCAATGTTACAAATAGAGTGGGGCACTGGTGTATATTTGATTTCCCCAAATGCAGACAGGAAAAGAGCAACAGAGCAGCAAATAAGCAAAAGGTACAAATAGGAAGATGACATGTCTAAACACAACATCAATAATTACATTAAATCATATAAATAAGTAATGATTACTATTGGGTAGTTGCTCCAATGAGTCATCAGAGATGTGCAAGTTGAAACTACCTCATCCCCAGTTGAATGGGTTAAGAAACAAAAGAAACAAAAGACCAGAAATACAAAGTGATCGTGAGGATGGGGAGCAAATGCAACTCCCATTCATTGTCACTGGGAGCATACAATGATCTAACTCTTTTGGAAAACAATTTGACAGTTTCTCGTAATGTTAAACATGCATTTACCATACAATCCAATAATTCTTATCCAAGGTGTTTACCCAAGAGAAATTAAAAACAAAACTGGAATATACTTTCAAACACATTCACTTTTCTCTCAGCCTAAGGATTCAGTTCTATAGGCTCTTCAAAACAGCTTCCCCTACAATGAGTAATACAGGAAAGAAGGAGATAGACACATAAACACACACACACACACACACACACACACACACACACAGAATGATAAAAATAGTAGTCATTTTGTAATCTAGTCTCAAATGTGACATGTAATTAGTCTTTGAATTTTAGTATTTCCAGTCTTTTGAATTTTAACCATTTTATTGGGATGAAGTGATTTCAGCTTTCATTTTACTGATGACTAATTGGAGTTATTAGTTACTTTACATATAATTATTGATATAGTTTAATGTTGTTATTAATATGATGTTTAAGTTTGTAATATTGTGTCATCTATACTGTATTATGAAGCAATTCTTTAAATGCTTCATAATTAAGAAGCCAGATAACAGAAATTAAGAATTAATAATTCTTCCACCTTTTGAGGGGAAGAATATCAAAAACTTCGTAGAAATTTTTTTAAACAAACACACTCTACACTCTGAACATATAGCATATACATTTTTCCCACAATTAAAATACTTTCATCCCTAGAAAAGGTCACAAAAGCCCCATCAATCACAATATTTAGTTGAAATCCTGAGTGTCATCATTTAAATCATGTTGAGATCTGGATGAAGTTCCTCAGGTGTAGTTCTTTAAATGTAGCACCTTGAGTACCATTCCTCTTAAGCTGAACACCTATGAAATAAAAAAGATAGTTATTTACGGCTATACATGCAAAACACAATGGTGGCATAGGACAATCATTATTGACATTTATGTTCAAAAATAGGGAGCATGAGAGACAAAAATCATTGACAATAGTAATTCTGAAATTCAGACTGACTTGTTAAATGTTCCTAGATGAGTTCTCATGAATTCTGGCTTTGTGCTCTGTTCTCTTGGTTCTGCTCTCTGAGGCATCCTTTATTTTTTTTTTTCATGGAGAATAACATATTGATATGAATGAAGGAATAAACTGAATATTTATGTGGCATTAACTATAGGGATAAAACATTAATTAACAATATATTCTTGGATAATTCAATATCATAACTTGGGTCAGACACCATGGTGTTAATTCACTGCCTTCCTAACAAAGGTAATTCTCAGACAACAGCAATTGAGCCTTGCGTGGATTCTCTGTAACGCTCAGTAATTTGCAGGCATTCAAGAAATATAAAAAACAGAAAATAATTTTAACATCAACAACAATGAAAGTGGACAGCTAGACAATAAACTTCTCCTATGTCCCTAAAAATGAAACTAAGAAAAGTAAAAACTGCTAGGACATGAAAAGTAGCAATTTTCTTTATTATCTAAAAATGTGTTAGGAAAGATACTGATAGTTTAGTTTTGATAAAATAGAAAGGTAGAGAAAGACATTACAGGAAAGGAGAAACTAAGAAATGTCTTTTGCTGCAAATACTTAATAATGTTTATGTGCAATTCTCTTTCTAACACCAGACATAGACTTTGCTGCTGAGAACAAGTCTAGGAGTAAATATATAACATGGATTCTTTCTTCACTGAGCTACACATTTGAAAAGATAGAGCTATAACTCAGCATGCACCTTTGGTGTATTACAAGGTTTTATTTTCTCATACATGTACCATTATTATCGCTAAAATAGAAACAAATACAGCCTAATGAGGCCGTTATTTCTCTAGCATTTGGAGTAGCTGTAACATAATTTTCCACACTCATTATCCGCCACAGATATTGTGAGTACAATGTCTAAAAAATAAATCTCCTTGTAAGATAATATCACTTCCTTTTAAAATCCTGATAATTACATTTAGTATAAAGGATGGAATAAATAAGAGTTTTGTTTATTCTACTTAGATACATGCCTGTACTGGCAATTTTATACTCATTTTTTGAGGATACTAGGAAGCTCCATCACCCAAAATATTTGTTGAATGCCCACTGAAAGCTGATATTGTTTAATGATGTACAAAATTTGTATTTCATAATTTAAGATATAGAAGCAAATGCTAATATTATTATTATAGATGAATTGTCAACATAGCCAACCATTCTAGGTCTGTTTTGCATTGAAAAAAATATAACTAATAATTAATATTAACTCAATATATTTCAACTCCCAAGTTTTTGTTTCTAAATATTCAACATTGAATTATTCTAGAAAGCAAGTTTAAACTGGAATAGAGAACAGTGACAATTGAAGATGTTTCAAACATTAGGAAAGGAGAGTGGGCGACGAGCACAGAAATTCACAGTAAAAGACTGAGCAAAGGAACTCTAGCACCAGAGATAAAACTTGCAAACATCAGAATGACTTGGGAATGACGGGATCCAAGATGATTTCAGCTTGTTACACAGTGTTGTATTCTAGTGAGTTTATTAAGCACTTGGAAGCTCAATTTTATTATCTTGTAAAATGGGAATAATAATATACATTTTATTGAGCTACTGGCATAATGTCAGTAAAATTCTTATCAAAGAACAAGGATCATATCTAATGACTAAAAAGTTAACGGATACATTTTAATATATTTAGGCATAAAATCATCTTTTCCAAGATGAAGAAATTTGCTCAGAATATTGATATGATCAAAGTGTATCATAAACCTCAGGCAGCAGAAAACTGATTGACAGATTCTTTTATATGTCTCTATCTTCTAATACAGTGACTGGCACCTGGACAGGAGTCTATGAGTATTGAACTATTTGATGAATAAATAAATAATAATTTGCCAAGGTCAAATGGCAATTTGGTTGCTAAGCAAGCATTCAAACCCATGACTCAGCGGCATCAGTTCATTCTCTCTGACTTCTTAATTCTCCCTTTCCGCCTGATCCCTTTCTTTCTCTCTCTGCATCAGACAGAGAGAGAGAGAGAGAGACAGACAGACAGAGACAGAGAGAGACAGGGACAGGGCCGTAGAAAATTGAGGATTTGATTTAAGAAGATGTAAGATCATAGCTGGAAATTTCAAACAAATCAGGTTGAGTAGAGGGCCATTGTCATCCAAGTGGGAATATAGAATATGGTTATCTGTGAAAAAGCAAGAGGAGGCATTTAACCAATATGTATCACATACTTTTTTTCTTTCCTAGACCTGAAAGTGTTATTATAACATAAAATAATTACTTTTCAAAAAATTTAGTCTTAGTATCATTAAAGCAATGGAAGATAACACCAAGATATTTTTTCACTTAAGGTTTAGTAACATAGGGTAGCAAATTCAGGAATTCTATTTAGCAAAAAGATCTTGTCTGCTTATGAGCATACTGCCTTTATTTATCTAAGGAGTTCTTTCTCCAACTTTCTGTGTTGCTTCCTAGATTCTGAAAAATCAGTGTTTTTTTAAAAAACTAACATTTTTAAAGGAAGTACTCAAGCTGTCTTTAGGACTTAGCTAAACACATTTGTGTTTAGGGCCTAGGGAAAGTAACTGCAAATGCACTCACAACCTTTATAGATTTCTGCCTCTGTTCTGAACAGAACCTCAAGGATGTGGTTGTTTTCAACTTTAAAAGTGAAACTCTGCAAAGAATGTTTGATTAGGCTGACAACATTCAAAGGTAAATCTAGAAATAAGTGTTTACAAGTTTTACAGTGTCCTCTTTAAGAGGAAATGGCTATTCTGCTTTAACTGAGAGGATAAAATGCTCTTTATAACACGTGCTTTTGGAGATCTAACCCTTAGGTACTCAGGATCTAATTAGTCCATCTACAGGTAAATATGTGTTTTTAATGGTGCTATCCAATGTGATATTTTATATTACTTCTGATTTCCTGACTTCATGTATTTATTACATGGAGAATAGAAACTATGTAATACAATATTTCAACTCTTAATAGTCTATTCTTCAAAATGACTAATACTGATGACAACCTGTCTGAAATATTTTCCAAAGTTTATTTTGTCACACTTGTCAATTTAGCAACCATTATATCTTCAGTGGTTTGGCTAAGTCTACCTAAGCAAGGAACTTAAATTTTCTTCTACTTAATTTTTGTTGTAATTTTTTCTTATTTCTACTATAGTTATGAAATTCTAATTTTGCAAGAATATTTTCCCTGAATTTCCTTAAATTGGGATTAAATCTGCATAATCATAATGCCAAACCACTTCAACTGTCTTTCCAATTTTTTTTTAATTTGCCTCTTTTATCTTTGTGCTAGGATAGTTCTTCTGGGCTATCTCAGGAATAAATCACCCAGGAAAATATTGGCTTTCTTGTAATAAGCCAAAAATATGATGAGAACGGCTATAAAAGAATCAATTGGACCAGTTGTGAGGGTAATATCATGGTCTTTAAATATAGTTCTTGTATTTTATTCTATGTTATGTTATGCTACTTTATGTTAAACAACACTTTATCCCTGTGTAGTATTTTTTAAAATACTCACTAAACTTTTAAAATTTATTATATATAATGAATATATATAATATACATAATGTTAAAAGCATTTGACAGTACAGATAAGCTTTAAAAAAAGACTCCCAAATCTAATTTCTAATGACAAAAAATCATTTTTGTTATTTTTTTCTATTAACTCTAGGTTACAATTAATTAAACTTGGATTTTTAGAATTTTATTGTGAAAACATTATATATTCACTCCATTATCAGAAATACATAGAGCTAGTTACCTTGCCATAACCTCACCTCCTTTATACCATCTCTCAATGCAGTTATATAATTATTCCTGTCTTTCCACTGGTCAAATCTGCATTTTCAAACAATATACTAGAACTTCTATTTCTTTTTCCAAAATGTTAGACACTATTTTTTTGACTCTCTGTTTTGTTGGTTTTGTAGCTGTTGTTTGTAAGTTAAAAGCCAATAAAAATTATTATTGTGATTCTGTAACTGTTTGCAGTAAGAAGTCAAGTGATATTCTGTGTAGGGAAAAATGAACTTTACTCAAAGAGAAAGGACGGGCTTTCACCTTCAATTGCTTCACTTTCAGTAACTGTGATCTCTAGGACCCTTGGAGGTCATGCCTGATAGGAGAGTCTTTATTTGCCTAGAGACTGTTCACTGGACAGTCCAACAATGTGGTTTGTAATGGAGGCTTTGGGACGTACCATATCACTTCCAACCTCCTAAGAACCTAGAGACTGACGTCATTAGACTGAATTCCAGGAAGGGCTAGAGACTAAAGGTCAACCACATAGGCAGTATGTGTTCATGCCTTAATGAAAACTCCGAACACCAAAGGATTGGGTGAGCTTCCTTGTTTGTCAATACTATCTGCATATTATCACAAATAATAGCCCAGAAGAGGTAATGCTGTCTTTATCTCCACAGGAAGATGCTGGTCAGAAACTCCACACTTGGACCTCCAAGGCCCTACCCTACGGATGCCTCCCTTTGCTGATTTTAATTTATCAGTATTCAGTATGCAATACTGATAAGTACTAATTTATCAGTATAGAATACTGATAAATTCTAAATACTGTTAGAATAATTTCAGTATTCTTTTTTTTTTTTTTTTTTTTTTTTTTGAGACGGAGTCTCGCTCTGTCGCCCAGGCTGGAGTGCAGTGGCGCAATCTCGGCTCACTGCAAGCTCCGCCTCCCGGGTTCACGCTATTCTCCTGCCTCAGCCTCCCAAGTAGCTGGGACTACAGGCGCCCGCCACTACGCCCGGCTAATTTTTTGTATTTTTAGTAGAGACGGGGTTTCACCGTTTTAGCCGGGAATAATTTCAGTATTCTAACAACTCTAGGAGTAAGTATAGAACATTCCTGAGCTCTGAGAATCATTCCAGTGAATTATTGAACCTGGAGGTAGCCATGTGGATCCCCCAAATTTTAGCCAGGGTGAAGTGAGGGTATTCTGGGTACCCTAAAATTGTGGTTACTGACTAACGAAAGGGCGATATCCTGAGGACTATTCCCTCTGACTTTGCAGTTTGGCTAACTCATTGCATACAACGTGATAACATTTCCTTCTCTAGACATCCAGACATTACAATTATGCCAAATAAAGGTGACTGTCTCCAGTTCAAAAGCCTTCTTGTTTATAATTACACTATACAAATTGCACAAAATAATGCACATTATAGCTTTTTTTTTTCTCATTTTTGGTACCATCCTTTTTCTATTTGTTTTTTATGGAGTTTCCATTTTTTTTTTTTTTTTACTAGATCAGATACACTGTTGTCTTCCCTTAACTGATCCAGGATTAGACTTGAATTCAGAAACTTTCTCTTTTTTAGTATAATCACTTGTTTTATTAAGGTACATTTTCTAAGAAGTTCCTAAAAATATTTTATGGAAAATAAAATTTGAGTTTTGTAAATATAAAAATAATTTTATATGGCCTCCATATTTTTGGATAATTCAACTGAATATACATTTATAGATAGAAAATTATTTTCCCCAGAACTTTGTACATCTCACTTTGCTGTCTAACCACAAGTAATTTACCTTTTTCCTTGAATTTCTTATTTATTTAATATTTGTTTATTGATTTGATATTGATAGCTCCTTGAATTTATCTTTGACCCAATTAATGTACTTACATGGTCCCTGTTCAATCTCCAGCATGTAGTAGAGTGGCTGATGAAAAAAGGCTCGTAATAAACATATATTGATCCTCTATTACCTGATTCTATGATCTTTTAGCATCTCATCATCATTTATAAGAACTTTATAATGCAAATAATTTGTATTTTTTAATTAAAGAAAGGCTTCTTATGAGGATGATTATTGACATATTTTACTTTCTTTCATCTTGTTTTCTTAATTCATTATGAAATATACGTGGAGCACTTCATTTTGAGAAAATTCTTTTTGTAGTTTTTAGGTAATCTAGTTCGTCCATTTTAGCAAATGTGATTATTCTGATCAACACCTAGCAACACAATCTTATAGGCAAAGGTTAAATTATGTGAGACATAACAATATTTGCTCTGATATTTCTATAGTAAAGTAGTTCTTTTTGGATATTCCTTATTATGATATTTTATGTAAAATGTATATCTTAGAATAGGAATTAGAAAAAAGTATAAAAATAGAAAAAATAAAAATAGAAAAAGAATTTAGAAAAATCTAAATTTGATATGTACAATCTCAATAAATATATACAATTAATGTATTCATTCACTAAAAATGTTTAATAGCACGTATATCCAAATAATATATTGATAATGGGATAAAAAATTCAATAAGATATAGCTATTAGTTATAAACCATAGTTATATTAAGTTATATCAGTGTATACATTTATCACTTACATAAGCATTTATTACTTATATAAACATACACATATAACTTATGAAGTATATGTTATTAATTGTATGTGTAACACTTTGACAATGTTTAATTGAAACATGATCATTGTAACTTTCTTAAAGAAGGATATTTTAATCACTTCTAGAATCTATACAAAAATGAAACAAAATTTGATGGTTAGAATGTCAATAATATAAAAGGTAAAACATTGTATCACATTATTTGAATAGCAAACTCCAAATATTGTATCTATTAGAATCCATCATCCAAAGTGGCGATAGTGTTTAAAAGCAGCCATTTGAATTCTATTACTTAAAATAAGACAGAATTGTAACCCTTACATCTTTATATGGCTAAATTTTTTATTAATATAACATATGGACAAAAGAAAAGCTCTCTTGTTTTTAAATATATTGTAATTTGCATAGATGCTATACACATACTAGGCTCTCTATAAATAGCCAATGAATTATGGTATCTAGGAGCTGGATACGAAAAAGAAATTGAGTTGGCATTAAAATAATGCCTGAGAACTAAATGCAATCACCATACATAAAAATCTACATTGAGTATTTATGTTTCAAATTCAAATTTTCAACAGTAAATGAAAATAATGATATATTGTAGTTTTTTAAATCTTGCAGATATTAGATTTTTAAATGCTCCCAACACATACACAAAAATGTTAAATATGTGAAGTAATGCATATGTTATTTAGCTCAATTTAGCCATTCTGCAATGTATATAACTATTTCAGATCATCACATACAAGATAAATACAATTTTGTGTTGTTTAACAGGGTAATCTCTGAGAAATGCATTGTCACACAATTTTGTCATTGTACAACCATCACAGAGTATACTTACACAAACCTAGACGGTAGAGCCTACTATACACCTGACTATATGATACACTCCTAGGCTGTGGGGTATTGCTCCTAGGCTACAAACCTGTAGAGCATGTTACTATAAGCAGTTGTAACACACTTGTAGGTATTTACGTATGTAAATACATTTAAACACAGAAAAGGTACAGTAAAATATGATATAAAATATAGAAAATGGTATAATCTTACAGGGCACTTTCCATGAATGGAGCTTGCAGGATTGGAAGTTGCATTGGGTGAGTAAGTGAACGAGTGTGAAGGCCTACTTCACATTACTATAGGACATTACAGTAACCTACTATAGACTTTATAAACTTTATAAACCCTTAGGCTACACTAAATTTATTAAAAACTTCTTTTTTCAATAATAAATTAGCTTTGGCTTACTATAGTATTTTTACTTTATAAGCTTTTAAATTGTTTAACTCTTTTACTCTTTTGCAATAACACTTAAAACACAAACACATTTTACAGTTGTACAAAAATATTGTTTTCTTTCTTTTCTTATGATAAAAACTTTATTGTCTTAAATATCAAATGTTTTATGCACTACTTTTTCTTCTGAAAGTTCCTATAAAAAAAGAAAAAATGAAGTGTTTTGATTATTTAGGGCTCACTTACATTTCAGTATGTGACAAAAATTCAAACCCAAACGCATGTAGTTCACTCAGTTTCAGACAGGTCCTTTGTTCAGCCCCTAAACGAATGGCACAATGCCACCGATTTGGGAATTCCTGAGTTTGGTTCCCTTAAGTTCTAAGAGTTTTCCCAACTCTCAAAACCAAAGCATCATGGAAGTGACAGGGCCACCGGCAAGACTTTTTGCCAGTCAGCCTAGTTCTTCTTTTAAGATGCAATAATCTCAAAGCTTAAAGAAGTCAGAAAATCTTACAATACAAGAGTAATTGCAAGAACATATAAAGAGGGAAAAGAAAAGACGGGGTTTCTATTTGCTAAGATTTGCCAAACATGGCTACAAAACTGGTAAACAAACCTTTCTTGAGGGCAAAGTCCATTAGCCCAACTTGCCATGAAGATGAGATTTGGAATAAAAATGAACAAATCAATTTTTGTTGTAGATACAAAGCGAAAAAATAAAATTCAATCAATATATTGAATTTCTTTGAGTTTTTCACCAGAACTATTTCAAAAGGATGATCAGGGGATAGAATGGAAATCTAGTCATTCAAATGGGAAGGTCTTGGATGGGTGGCATAAACCCAGAAATCTGTGAAGATTCAGGAATGGAAAAATAAGTCTGGTCAGCATCAGGTAATCTTAGACAGAAGGAAGCAGGAAACGAATGTGCCTGCCTCTGGCAGGAAATGCAGGTCTGCCATTTTTAGGCCACAGACACATTCATTCAGGGTTGTGTGTAAAACTAACTCTTGTAAACAAAATAACTTCCCATCAGAAATGCATGTTCCTAGGAAAAATAATACTGCAGCATGCCCCCCTCCACAAATTAGCTAATGAAAACCTTCTTACAGAACATAAAGAAACCTAGTCCTGTCTAAATTATCATAATTTTGTATTTCATGCCCCACGACCCCAGTCTTCCATAGTTGGCTTAACGTTTTTAGGTAAAAGAAACATTCTCTAACCCCTATGCCCTTGAACCATTTTCTTGGCAGATTTCATTCCAGAAGTAGTGCCCTAAAACTTGTCAGCTGTATCCTTTCACGTTCTACAGCCTCCAGAGGGTCTAGATTACCGATCATCGATACATAACTGATAAACCTTTGAGAACATTTTCTAACTGTAAACCTCAGAAGTCAATATTTTTCTATATATCTTTATTCTATAAACTTATTTCTGTTTCTAATTTTTTATTTATACTTTTTAAGATTTTTGTTAAAAACTAAGACACGAGCACACACATTGGCCTAGGCCTACACAGCGTCAGGATCATCAATGTTATTATATTCCACCTCCCTATCTTTGTCTTAATGGAAGGTCTTCAGGGGCAATAACACACGTGGAGCTTTTATCTCCTATAATAACAAGGCAGTCTTCTGAAATATCTCCTGAAGGACATACCTGAGGTTATTTTACAGTTAACATTTTTGTAATAAGTAGAAAGTGTACACTCTAAAATAATAATTAAAAATAGCATGGTAAATACATAAATCAGTAACAGTCATTTATTGTCAAGTATTATGTACTGTACATAATTTTATGTGCTATAACTTTATAAAACTGGCAGTGCAGTAGGTTTGTTTACACCAATGTCATCACAAACATGTGAGTGATGTGTTGAGCTATGGTGTTACAAGGGTTCCAACACCACTGAGTGATATAAATTTATCCATTTCATTATAATCTGCTGGGACCACTGTCATATATGTGGTCCACCACTGACTGAAATATTATGTGGTATATAACTGCATATACAATTTTTATTTGTCAACAGTAAACATATAAGGAGAAAAAAGAACATCTCTTGCTACTGGAAGGGAATGTCTTACTCTGTGTAAGTGGGTACGCATAAGACATATATAGGCTTTTAGATAAATTCTTGTTATTAGAAATAATGTTAACTGGTAATTTGAGGCTTTGCTTAGTATCTTAATTCTTTTTTTTAATTATTATGTTTCAAGTTCTGGGATACATATGCCGAACGTGAAGGTTCGTTACATAGGTATATACATGCCACGGTAGTTGCTGCACCTATCAACCCGTCATCTACATTAAGTATTTCTCCTAATGCTATCCCTCCCCTAGCCCCCCACCCCCTGACAGACCCTGGTGTGTGATGTTCCCCTCCCTGTGTCCATGTGTTCTCAATGTTCAACTCCCACTTATAAGTGACAGCATGTGGTGTTTGGTTTTCTGTTCCTGTGTTAGTTTGCTGAGAATGATGGTTTTCAGCTTCATCCATGTCCCTGCAAAGGACATGAACTCATCCTTTTTTATGGCTGCATAGTATTCCATGGCGTGTATGTGCCACATTTTCTCTATCCAGTCTATCATTGATGGGCATTTTGGTTAGTTCCAAGTGTTTTCTATTGTGAACAGTGCCACAGTAAACATACATGTGCATGTGTCTTCATAGTAGAATGATTCATAATCCTTTGGGTATATACCCAGTAATGGGATTGCTGGGTCAAATGGTATTTCTTATTCTAGATCCTTGAGGAATCATCACACTGTCTTCCACAATGGTTGAACTAATTTACACTCCCACCAACAGTGTAAAAGCATTCCTATTTCTCCACATCCTCTCCAGCGTCTGTTGTTTCCAGACTTTTTAATGATCGCCATTCTAACTGGCATGAGATGGTATGTCTTTGTGGTTTTGATTTGCATTTCTCTAATGACCAGTGATGATGAGCTTTTTTTTCATATGTTTGTTGGCTGCATAAATGTCTTCTTTTGAGAAGTGTCTGTTTATTTGCTTCATCCACTTTTTGATGAGGTTGTTTGTTTTTTTCTTGTAAATTTGGTTAAGTTCCTTGTAGATTCTGGATATTAACCCTTTGTCAGATGGATAGATTGCCTAAATTTTCTCCCATTCTGTAGCTTGCCTGTTCGCTCTGATGATAGTTTCTTTTGCTGTGCAGAAGCTCTTTAGTTTAATTAGATCTCATTTGTCAATTTTGGCTTTTGTTGCCATTGCTTTTGGTGTTTTAGTCATGAAGACTTTGCTCATGCCTATGTCCTGAATGGTATTGCCTAGGTTTTCTTCTAGCGTTTTTATGTTTTTAGGTTTTACATTTAAGTCTTTAATCCATCTCGAGTTAATTTTTGTATAAGATGTAAAGAAGGGGTCCGGTTTCAGTTTTCTGCATATGGCTGGCCAGTTTTCCTAACACTATTTATTAAATAGGGAATCCTCTCCCCATTGCTTGTTTTTGTCAGGTTTGTCAAAGATCAGATGGTTGTGGATGTGTGGCATTATTTCTGAGGCCTCTGTTTTGTTCCATTGGTTTATATATCGGTTTTGGTACCAGTGCCATGCTGTTTTGGTCATTGTAGACTTGCAGTATAGTTTGAAATCAGGTAGTGTTATGCCTCCAGCTTTGTTCTTTTTGCTTAGGAGTGTCTTGGCTATATGGGCTCCTTTATGGTTCCATAGTATTTTAATTCTTAAATGAGGATAAGAATCTACTGATCTCCAATAATCACAAGAAGTATTGAAAAATGATAAAAGAAAGAAATGTTGCAGCTTGAAAACTTCACTAATGTGTTATTGTACAGCTCAATAACAATATACTGGATTGTTAAATATCAGTTTTATTTTTAATAGACATATGATAAGAACTATTATTTTATAATAGTAATTGTAATAATAGTATACCACTTTTTGTAAGGGATATAAAATATCATCTGAATTTTCTTTCTGAAAACCAAGATTAAAAATAAAATAAACTGATAAACATAATAATGAATGTAGGACAACAATACTTACACAGAGACCACTCAAAAAGATGAAAATTTTGCAAAAAAAAAGAAAAATCTTGTGAAATAATTAGAAAGAAGCTAGGGCAACCAACATTTAATGGACACAAAGAGCCAAGACAAGGGAGAAACAACTTGAGAACATAAGCTGACTGACATTGGCAGACACTTTCTCTGTCAAGATATCTGTCAATTCTGGTCAAAGGGAAAAAGTTTAAGATTTGAAAAAGAGCTCAGGCCAAGAGCCTCTACCAAGAGGCAAAAAAATCAACAGAGATATGAGATAAAAATCCCTATAACATTATTCTGAGAAGAAAAAAATTAGTTTTTAACAACTGTCAGTGGGAGAGAACCTACTGGTGATTATCCTAGACTCTCAGAATATGTAGAAGGCTGTACACTATGAGGAGGAGAAAATTCAGGGTCAGAGGTAGCTTTGGAATTTTCAAATGATCTTGGATCCATCTCAGTCTCTACTTAAAAAGGTGATAAGTCTCTTCTCTACCTGCCTGAGTAGAGAAAAGGCTGATTATCTCTGGAGAAAAATATAGTCATAAAATTCTGTATTTTTTTCACTATAATGATCATAATTTATTATAAAAATATAAGTTATGCAAGGAGACCAGAGAAAAGACTAAAATTCAAAAGAAGAATCAGATATAAACAGACTTACTGATAAACCTGACATTGCAGTTATAATGAAACAACTTTAAACCGTGTGTGATTAATATCTTCGAGGAATAGAAAAAAAACCATAATCTGAAAATCCCATGTCAACAAATGACTCTAAGCAGAAAAGACATAGCAGGAAGAAAAAGAATTAGTGTATTGAAAGACACTGAAAGGTAGATTAATAGAAATTCTTTATGTTGAAGCATATAGTAAAACAAGAGTACATATTAGAGAAATGACAGTAATTGATATATAAAACAGTGTGGAAAGCCCTAACTTATTTTTAACTGGAGTTCTATAAGGTAGAAGAGAATGGAGCAAAAGCAACATTTCAAAAACTATTGACCAAGAGTTTTCCAAAATCAAATACTGACACCAGGCCACAGTTGCAATAAATTTTGTATACTCAAAGCAGGATGAATATAAAAAAATCCATATTTAGGAACATCATGTTTTAAGAAAAGAAAACCAAAAACAAAGAGAATATTTTAATAGCAGCTACAAAAAATGACACATTACCCTAGAAGGAGTAACAGCATCACTGACAGCTGACTATTCTCAGAAACCATGGAAACTAGAAAACAGTGGACATCATTAGCAAATGCTAAGAAAACAAAGTTCTAAGAATTCTATATCCAGCAAAAATATTATTCTAAAGAAGACCAAATAAAAATGATTTCAGACAAGCAAAAACTGAAAAACACCTGCACTTAAAGAAATACTAAAGAGTGTTGTTCAGGTATAAAGATAATTATTCTAGACAAAAGCACAAGAAACAGGAAAAAAAACAGTATACCTGAAAAGATAAATATGTAGATAAATATATTAGATATTGGCTGCAGGAAATAATAATTATAAGGTCAATATTAAGTATATAGAAAAGTAAACGCATGAAAATATACACAATGGGAAGGTAGTAAAGTTGAGGAATTATTAAAACAACAATTTAAGTTAGACTGAAATATGTCAAGACTCATCTGTTTAGTTTTCTATTGCAATCACTTAGTAAAATAGTGTACACAGAATAAGCTGATCATATAATAAAAAAGAATAATTCAGAAGAAGAAAAGATATGGAGTAAATGACAAAACAAATAGTAAAATGGTAGATACATATGGTTTGTCACCACCAGAACTCATGTTGCAATTTGATCCCCATCATGGCACTGTTGGGAGGTGGGGTTAGTGGGAGGTGTTTGAGTCACTGGGGCAGATGCCTCATGAATGGCTTGGTGACCTTTTCATTGTAGTGAGTAAGTTCTGGTTCCAGTGAAATTGGGTCAGTTTCTGTGACAATGGATTAGTTTCTGTGAGAGTGAGTTGATATAAAGCCAGGATACCCCTTGGGTTTTTTATTTTTGCATGTGTCCACTTGCCCTTTGGCCTTCTCTGCCATGTTATGAGGTAGCATAAAAGCCCTGACAGTATTGCTGACATTATGATCGTATACTTGGAAAACCCTAAGACACATCCAAAAGCTTCTAGAACTGGTAAATGAATTCAGCAAAGTTTCAGGATACAAAATGAATGTACACAAATTAGTAGCTCTGCTATACACCGACAGGGACCAAGCTGAGAATCATACCAAGAATTCAACCTTTTTGTAGTTTTCCTTGTGGAGGTCTTTCATGATAGCTGCAAAATAAATAAAATACCCAGGAATATAACCATCCAAGGAGGTGAAAGACCTCTGTAAGGAAAACTATAAAACACTGCTGAAAGAAATCACTGATGACACAAACAAATGGGAACATATCCCATGCTCATGGATGGGTAGAATCAATATTGTGAAAATGACTATACTGCCAAAAGCAATCTACAAATTCAATGCAATCCCATCAAAATATCATCATCATTCTTCATGTAACTGGAAAAAACAATCCTAAAATTCATATAGATCCAAAAAACAGCCCACATAGCCAAAGCAAGATTTTGCAAAACGAACAAATTTGAAGACATCATTACCCAACTTTAAAGTATATTATAAGGCCATAGTCACAAAAACAGCATGGTACTGGTATAATAATAGGCAAAAAATCAAAACCACAATGCAATACCACCACACTCCTGCAAGAATGGCCATAACCAAAAAGTCAAAAATTAACAGATGTTGGTGGGAATGTAAACTAGTACAATCACTGTAGAAAACAGTGTGGAGACTCCTTAAATAGCTAAAAGTAGAACTACCATCTGATCCAGCAATCCCACTACTAAGTATCTACCCAGAGGAAAAGAATTCATTTACCAAAAAGATACTTGCACATGCATGTTTTTAGCAGCAACAATTTATAGTTGCAAAAATATGGAACCAGCCTACTGGCCCATCAATTGATGAGTGGATAAAGAAAACATGGTGTATATAATATATATCATTGACTACTACTCAGCCTAAAATGGAAACAAGTAATTGCCTTTACAACAACCTGGATAGAATGAAAAACTATTATTCTAAGTGAGGTAGCTCAGGAATGGAAAGCCAAATATTGTATGTTCTCACTCTAAGCTATGACACACAAAGCATAAAAATGATACATTGGACCTGGTAACTCGGGGGAAATGGTAGGGGGTGGGGAGGGATAAAAGACTACACACTGAGTACAGTGAATACTGCTTGGGTTATGGGTGCACCAAAATCGCAGAAATCAGCACTAAAGAACTTATTCATGTAACCAAACACCACCGGTTTCCCAAAAACCTATTGAAATAAAAAAAATTAAAAAAATTAAATGGCATCACAATTAAATTCTTTTGTACATCCATTACTACTAGAGTAAATATATAGTCAAGACAGGAAGAAAACAATTATCAATACATAAATCTGACAAGTAATTCACATATGGGAGAGAAATAAATCTTAGAAATCAAGGAGAATAAAACAGAAAACTACCACAAAAGAATATCAAAATGAGAAAAAAAACTTACACATGCAATAATATGAATGAATCTAATAAACATACATTGAGCAACATAAGAAAGGTTGAAAAACTCACTGTAAGATATTAATAGAAAGTTCAAAAATAGACAAAACTAATCTATGGTTTAAGAAATTAGGGGAGTCATTATCTTTGGTGTGCTAATTTTGTAAGTAAAACAAGCCACAATGAAGATTCTCAGGTTTCAATACTCTATTTTTTAGCCCACCACTGATGATATAAATATATTCAAAATATACAAATTTTGCAACCTGTTCACTTATGCTTTGTAATTTTTTGTATGTCCTGTGTGTATGATATACCTAATAAATAGGGTATCATTATAAATATCTATATTCTAAACACCGTTCTGTCTTTTCTGTTTTTTGAGGTGGAGTCTCGTTCTGTCACCCATGCTGGAGTGCAGTGGTGTGATCTCAGCTCATTGCAACCTCTGCCTCCCGGGTTCAAACGATTCTCTTGCCTCAGCCTCCCAAGTAGCTGGGCTTACAGGCACATGCCACCATGCCCATTTAATTTTTGTATTTTTAGTAGAGATGGGGTTTCACCATGTTGGCCAGGCTGGTCTCCAACTCCTGACCTCAGAAGAGCCACCCGCCTCGAACTCCGAAAGTGCTGGATTACAGGCCATTCTGTCTTTTTATCCTGAACAACCCTTATTCAAGATTTCCATTGACTAGAATTTATCAGTCTTACTAAGCCCAACTCAGTTAAGTACTTTTAAATTTTGTTCAAAAGTATTTTCCTTATGTGTAAATATCACAGAGAGGAAAATTTTACTTTGGCATGCACACACACACACACACATACACACACATACACATCTGTAACTGTAGGTTTCACTTATTTGGCTATTTCTCCAGATATTTCAAGACCTACCAAGTGGGAATGGGTTGAGGTTATTATAAAAATTACAAATGTAATAATCATTCTGAAGCTCTATTCCACCTTTTATTTAAATAGTCTCAATCCTGTGTAATATTTTCTTCCCTAATCCCTTCAAGTTATGTCCTGCAGTCCTCAGGTGTTCTTGTCATCTTACAAAAGCTCTGTCAGCTCACTTCCTATCTATTATTTTCTTCCTTGTTTCCTCCTTTAGCAAGACCCACTGCAGAAGCCTGTGCTGCTCATAAAATTTCCTAAGCTCACCCACAGCGATCACTGCTTCAGCTGGCACTCATTCTTAAGTGCTGTAACGCCTCCCCACTGTGTGAAAGCCAGCATGCTGTGACAAAACTACCATGCCTGACTCCCTTCTGATGTATGAGTATCCATGAGGTATTGATGCTCATGTCATTTTTGCTGATGCCTAGCTCTAAACTTTGCATCATGTTTCTGAAATTTACCATGTGGGTTACAGACCCTAATAAAAATAAGCACAGACAGGAAAACCACAATATTTAAAAAGCAAACAAACATCTCTAACACATATAATAAACTTCTGAATTAAAAGAATAGAATAAAAAGATTTTTAAAGTACAGATTACCGACATTAATGGAGCACAATTGTTTATATAGATTCAGTATGCAAATATTTATAGAAATTATTTAGTGTTCATTTGCTCTGGTGCTTTTCAATTTTTCCATTTTGACTTTTTCATTTTCCACTACACTCAAAAGTTGTAACAAAAAAGATGAATAAATAGCAATGGGAACAAATATTGAACTGTAATATTGAAGTTCAAAATTAAAAAGAATAAATATTCTAAATGTTTTTATTCTGAAACAACTAAAAAAGTGCCAATTTTGAGGACTGATATGAGCACAAAAGCAAATAATTAACCTGTAACAATTATTTTTAGTTATGTTTGAAAAAAGAATATGAAAATAATTATAATAATGTGAGACTTAAAGAATAAGAGTAAACTACAAAGACAATAGTCATTCTAATTGTGAATAAACATTTTTATAAGAAATATTTGAGGAAAAGTAAAATTGTTAAGTATATGAAAACGTGACTAGAGAAGGTTTACAGGAATTAAGTATGCCAAAAAATAATTTAACAAAACTGGCTATTCAAAAATACTTTTCCAGAATACCTCACTTGTCAAATTTATCAATTACTGAGTGTCAAGACATTTTATGACCAAGTGGTACAAATTTATAAGTTAACAGGTTTTTCTAAGAGGCTGAAATAGCCAAAGATCAGTATAACCAAAGCTCTTCAGAACAGCCAAACAGTACTAGGGTTGAAGCAAGAGAAGTATATCGAGAATGAATAGCTTTTCACATTTTACAAAATTGTATTAAAGAAATCACAGAAAATAAAACTTTCTGAGGTTATTTCAGTGACATTATAAACTCTCATTATTTATCTTTCTAATAAAGGAAACCATTTAAATAAATTGACGATTCAATATAATTTCATAGGAGACGATGTCAGGGACCACCAGGAAGGCTTGTGCCAGTTGTGGCCTGTATGTGACACATGAAGTAAGTGATCAGAGACTAAGAATTAAGTTTTCACACCTTTCACATAGTTGTGTGCCATTAGGGGTAGCTGTGCTTCCACAGGTAGGTGGACATTCTTAGAATTAGCTCAAGGTATAGGATAGGGGTGTCTATGGAGAATATCATGAGAGAGAGAGAGAGAGAGTGTGTGTAGTTTTCAGATAATTAGAATGAATTCAAGTTACAAAATCTATTTCAAGTATCTATCATACAATTGCAAATTAGTAAAAAAACTCTTAATATCTAATAAGCTACAAACAAATTGCCTTAATGATTTTCACTTCTGAGAGACAGAAGGAAATGTTTCCTCACATGATAATTTACAGAGTTGTATGTTTCACTTAATCTCCCACTATCCACCAAGCCAGCTATGATACCTACAAAGGTTACGAATGGCATGAGCTTAGTTACAATATTCCCTACTATCTGACAAATTGCTTACTTAACCTCTCACTCCTGTTTTCTAGATGAACAAATATGAATTTTATTCAATTATTTGCTTTATATTAAATGTAAACTACGCTGTGTCATATTCTATAGGGATAGAAAAAAATCATTCAGGATGCCTGCATTCCCACTTTTAGGTCTTGAAAACATCTTCAGAGGCTTCCACAACTTAAGGCTTCAGATGAAGTTCTCTTCCATTTACACTAGGTATACCAATACATTCTTTGTCTGTGCCAACATGGTTTCTGAGAGACAGTGAGATCTGTAGCTTTCCAGGAAGTAAACCATTGTCAAGTTACGGGTTCCTCCTGCATATAATTATTCTTCTCTGAGGTACTGCCGTATCATTTAGGAACTCCTAAGTAGTGGGACACATCCAATTTTGGGACTAAAGATACCCCATATATTTGCCAGATTGGGAATTCACTTCTTCCCCAAGTACAGTCATGGTGTCTTTGTTGCCCTAAGTATTCATAGATCTCCTTGCTTTTCTGAGAAAATTCTGCTTAATCTCCTAATAAGGAGTCAGGAACCTAAATGTTAAGAAGGGAACTTATTTATTCTTCATGAAGGAAAATTGTATAAGATGTATCCTAAAATAAAGGAAATTACATAGTTGGCTATCTTCTTCAAACGAGAAGGAGCAAAATAAAACAAGCAAACAAAACCACAAAATAGTAATTTAATAAATTATTTCATATTTTTCTTCTGCAATAAGCTTCATTTTACTGCAAAAGTAATTCACTTCCTTTTCTGAGATTTTTAAAATTATTTTAAAGAGCAGAGCTTGAGGTAGACTTCACAGAGCAGTACCCCTTTAACATAGTTGCTATACACTTCACTGTTGCTCTCATTTGTTTTCTTTGTTTCCTTGAGTACAAGCTTCCAAGAGTAAGCAGTGGTCTTATCCCCTAGCCCAGTGCCTCTAATCAATCCCTTAGAGTCAATATACGATGCTAAAATAATGGTTAATGGAATTCGTATTAACAGGATACATAAGAGAAGGGACCTGGGAACCTCAGGTGGGAAAAAAATGGCAAGCAAAAATATGGGTTAAAAACAATATGCTTTCTTTCTCTTGATTTTTCTAATTAATTTTTGGTGGTTGAAGAAAGATTATAGCACTGTGTTATGTGGTGGTAAATGTATTTAGAGAAAATATTTGATAAGAATATTATAAATGGAGTAAGGTAAGGGGATTTAGAAAGATATAATTCTAAACTTCACTCAAACTGGTGGACTCCAATAGACTTTTAAAAAATCATAATGTAATACTAAGAACAACCACTAATGTGTGTGTGTGTGTGTGTGTGTGTGTGTGTGTGTGAGTGTGTGTAGAGAGAAAGAGAAACAGAGATACACTAAAAATTATAATTAAATTAAACTGGTATTCTAAAAAATGTCTATATATGAACGCAGAAAAAGAATATCAGAAAAATGAAACCAGAATCAACAAGCAGAAAAACAAAATGGCAGACTTAAGCCTTAATATATTACTAATTACATTCAATATTAATATACCTGCAACAATTAATACACAGAAATTCATAGAATATTATTTTTAGAAAAAGACCTAACTTCAATTACAAAATATGAACAGTTTTTTTAATAAAGTAAAAGGTACAAAAAAAGTCAGGAAAATAATAATCAAACAAAAGTAGGAGTGACGACTCTAGTAAACAGGAAAAGTGGACTTAAGAGTAAAAAAATATATACTAAACAGAGGGGCATTATAAAATGACAGTAGGGTCAATTCTCCAATAAGACATTGCATTCCTAAACACGTATAAAACAAACAACACCACTGCAAAATACATTAAGAGAAAGCTGATAGAACTGAAAGAAATAGTGAAATTCACAGCTATAGTTGTACAAAACATTCTCTAGACAATTGATAGAACAAATAGAACACTGGCAGTGATTCAGAATAACTCTGCACCATCATTAACCAACAGAATAAAATACTAATTTATAGAACACTCTATCCAACAAATAGCAGAACATATGTTCTTTTCAGGAGCTCAAGCAGCAAAAACAAGGATGGATCATATACTGAGCCATGAAACAAACCTCAAGGAATTTAAAAGAACTGAAATCATATAGATTGTGTTATCCAAATACAGTGGGATGAGATTAGAAATTAACAGAGGGGAGGTAACAGGAAAATATCCAAACATTTGGAAATAAATAACAGAATATTCTTTTTTTTCTTTATTTCTTCTTCTAAAAAAAAATCCATGAGATACGTGCGTGGAACGTGCAGCTTGTTACGTACGTATTCGTGTGCCATGGTGCTCTGCTGCACCTATTAAGCCATCCTGTAAGTTATCTCCCCCCACGCCCCACCCATCAACAGACCCTGGTTTATGTTGTTCCCCTCTCTGTGTCCATGTATTCTCAATGTTCAACTCCCACTTATGAGTGAGAACATGCGTTGTTTGCTTTTCTGTTTCTGTGTTAGTTTGCTGAGGATGATGGCTTCCAGCTTCATCCATGTCCCCGCAAAGGACATGATTTAATTAGTTTTTATGGCTGCATAGTATTCCATAATGTATATGTGCCACATTTTCTTTTCCCATTCTACCATTGATGGACATTTGGGTTGGTTCCACATCTTTGCTATTGTAAATAGTGCTGCAGTAAACACACATGTGCATGTATCTTTATAGAATGATCTATATTTCTCTGAGTATATACCCAGTAATGGGATTGCTGAGTCAAATGGTACTTCTGGTTCTAGATCCCTGAGGAATTGCCATACCGGTTTCCACAATGGTTGAACTCATTTACCATCCCACCAACAGTGTAAAAGTGTTCCTGTTTCTCTACAGCCTCGCCAGCATCTATTGTTTCTTGACTTTTTAATAATCGCCATTCTGACTGGCATGAGATGGTATCTCACGGTGGTTTTGATTTGCATTTTTTCTAATAATCAATGATGTTGAGCTTTTTTTTCATATGTTCAATGGCCCTGTAAATGTTTTCTTTTGAGAAGTGTCTGTTCATATCCTTTGCCCACTTTTTGATGGGATTGTTTGTTTTTTTTCTTGTAAATTTAAGTTCCTCGTAAATTCTGGATATTAGACCTTCGTCAAAATAGCTGTGTTGAGGAAAATCAAATAAATTCAAGAATCACAGAGAAGGAATTCATAATTCTATCAAATAGATTAAAAAAGAGATTGAAATTAATTTTAAAAAAAGAAATTCTGGAGCTGAAAAATGCAATTAGCATACTGAAGAATGCATCAAAGTACTTTAATAGCAGAATTGATCAGGCAGAAAAAAGAATTAGTGAGCTTGAAGACCAGCTATTTGAAAATACATAGTCAGAAGAAACAATAAAAAAGATTTGAAAAACAATGAAGCACACCTACAAGATCAAGAAAATCGCCTCAAAACAGCAAATATAAGAGTTATTGGCCTTAAAGAGGAGGTAGAGAAAGAGACAGCGGTAAAAAGTTTATTTAAAGGGGGTAATAACAGAGTACTTCCCAAACCTAGACTAAAATATTAATGTATAAGTATGCGAAGGTTATAGAACACCAAGTAGATTGAACCCAAAGACTACCTCAAGAATTTAATAATCAAACTTCCAAAGGTCAAGCATAATGTAAAAATCCTAAAAGCAGTGAGAGAAAAGAAACAAATAACATACAATGGGACTCCAGTACACTTGGTAGAAGACTCTTTAGTGGTAACCTTAGAGGCCAGGAGAGAGTGGTAAGACATATTTAAAGTGCTGGAAAAAAAGTTTTTTTTTTTTTTTTGAGATGCAGTCTCGCTCTGTCACCAGGTGGGAGTGCAGTGGCTTGATCTTGGCTCATTGCAACCTCCACCTCCCCTCCCCGGGTTCAAGTGATTCTCCTGCGTCATTCTCCTAAGTAGCTGGGACTACAAGTGTGTGCCACCACACCCAGCTAAATTTTGTATTTTTAGTAGAGACGGGGTTACACCATGTTGGCCAGGATGCTCTCAATTTCTTGTCCTTGTGATCCACCTGCCTCAGCCTCCCAAAGTGCTGGGATTACAGGCATGAGCCACCTCGTTGGGCTAAAAAACAAGTTTTATGCTAGGATAAAATATGCTGTGTATTCTAGAAAAGCAAAAGCTGAGGGATTTCATAAACACCAGACTTATCCAACAAGAAATGCTAAAGGGAGTACTTCAGTTAGAAAGAAAAAGACATTAACAAGCGATAAGAAATCATCTGAAGATACAAAACTCACTGGTCATAGTAAGTACTCAGAAAAACACAGAATATTCTAACACTGTAACTGTGGTCTGTAAACTACACTTATTCAAGTAGAAAGCTAAGTGATAACCCAATAAAAAATTAAACAACAGCTTTTCAAGACATATTTAGTACAATAGTATATAAATAGAAGCAACAAAAATATTAAAAGTAGGGGGATGAAATTAAAGCATAGAGTTTTTTAATTAATTTTTGCTTGTTTGTTTATACAAACAATGTTAAGTTCTTATCAGGTGAAAATGATGAGTAATATGATAGTATTTGCAAGACTCATGGTAACCAATCAAAAAGCATACAATGTAGACACAAAAACATAAGAAGCAAGAAACTAAATCACATCACCAGAGAAAATGACCTTCACTAAAAGAATACAGGAAGGTAAGAAAGAAGGAAGAGAAGACCATAAAACAAGAAAACAAATAACAAAATGGCCCGAGTAAGTCCTTACGTATCAATAATAACATTAAAAATAAATGGACTAAACTCTTCATCTAAAAATAAATGCTAAAATCAGTAGCATTTCTATATGGCAACAGTGAACAATGTGAAAGATAAATAAAAGAGTAATCCCATTTACAATAGCCACACGTAAAATTAAATATCAAGGAATTAACAAAAGAAGTTAAATCTATAATGAAAACTACAAAACACTGATGGAAAAAAGTGAGTAGGAGTCAGAAAATAGAAAAAATATTCCTTGTTCATGGATTGGAAGACTCAATATTTTTTAAATGTCCATACTATCCTAAACAATCTATAGATTCAATGCCATCCCTATCAAAATACCAATGACATTCTTCACAGAAATAAAATACCCTAAAATTTATATAAAACCACAAAAGACCCAGAATAGCCAAACTCTCCTAAGCAATAAAAATAAAACCGGAGGAATCACATTACTTCACTTATAATTATACTACAGAACTATAGTAACCAAAAAAGTATGGTACTGGCAAAAAAACAAACTCATAGATCAATGGAAAAGAATAGAGAACCCATGAACAAATCCAGACACCTATAGTGAACTCATTTTCGACAAAGTTTCCAAGAACATACATGGGAAAAAACAGTCTCTTCAATAAATGGTGCTTAGAAAACTACATATCTATATACAAAAGAATGAATCTAGACCCCTCTCTCTCACCACATACAAAATTCAAATGTAAATGGATTAAAGACTTACATCTAAGACTTAAAACTATGAAACTACTACAAGAAAACATTGGGGACAATCTCCAGGACTTTGGACTGGAGAAATATTTCTTGAGTAGTACTCACAAACATGGACAACCAAAGCTAAATAGACAAATGGGATCACATCAAGTTAAAAAAATAATAACTTCTGCATAGCAAAGCATACAATCAGCAAAGTGAATATTTTCTCCCACAGAATGTGAGAAAATACTTGCAAACTATTCATCTGACAAGGAGTTAATAACCAAAATACATATTAACAGGTAGCTCAAACAACTCTATAGGAAAAATATCTAATAATCCAATCAAAAGTGGTCAAAATATTTGAATAGACATTTCTCAAAAGAAGACATACAAATGGCAAACAGGTATATGAAAAGGTGCTCAACATCACTGATCATTAAAGAAATTCACTACCATGGGATATCATCTCACCTCAATTAAAATGTCTTATATTCAAAAGATAGGCAATAACAAATGCTGGTGAGGACGTGAAGAAAGGGAACTCTCTTACACTGATAGGAAGGTAAATTAGTAAAACCACTATGGAGAATTGTTTGGAGGGTCCTCAAAAAACAAAAAATTGAGCTATAATATGATCCAACAAGTCCACTGCTAGGTATATACCCAAAAAGAAAGAAAATCAGTATGTCAAAGAGATACTTGCACTCCTGTGTTTGTTGCAGGACTGTTTACAATAGGCAATATTTGGAAGCAACCTAAGTGTCCATCAACAGATGTATGAATAAAGAACATGTAGTATGTATACACAATGGAGTACTATTCAGCCATAAAACAAATGAGATACAAACATTTGCAACAACAAGGAAAGAACCAGAGATCATTATGTTAAGCGAGATAAGCCAGGCACAGAAAGACATACGTCATATGTTCTCACTTATTTGGGGGAGGTAAAAATTAATATAATTGAACTCATAAAGTTAGAGAATAGAAGCACGGTTACTGGAGGCTGAGAAGGATAGTAAGTGGCTGTTGGAGGGGCAGGGAAAGTGGGAATAGTTAATGGGTACTAAAAATCGAAAGAATGAATAAGACCTAGTATTTGATAGCACAACAGGGTAATTACAGTTCATAGTAACTTAATTCTACATTTTAAAGTAACTTTAAAAGTGTAATTGGATAGTTTTTAATTCAATGGATAAATGCTTGAGGAGAAGGAAACCCCATTCTCCATGATCTTATTTTACATTGCATGCTGATATCAAAACATCTCATGCACCCCATAAATATACATACTTAACTATGTACTCACAAAAATAAAAAAATTTAAAGTGAAAATTTACAAAATTATTCTAGCAATTTTGAATTATACTATGTAATATACAATGTTGTTAACTATAGTCATCTTGATGTGCTATCAAGCACTGAAATTTTTGTTCCTAACTAACTGAATGTTTGTACCCATTAACAAACCTCACTTTATCTCCTTTCTCCAATCCTTTGAAATCTCTGTTAACTATCACTCTACTCTGCTTCCAAGAGACCAGATTTTTTTACCTGTTACATATGAGTGGGAACATGCAATATATGTTTTTTCTGCCTGCCTTATTTCACTTAACATAATAAACTTCAGTTCCATCAATGTTGCTACAAATGACAGAATTTCATTTTTTGTTACGGCTAAAGAATATTCCATTGTGTATAAATATTCATAGTATTTTTTATCCATTTAGACATTGATGGACACTTAGGTTGATTCCACATTTGGTCCTAATGTGAATAGTGCTGCAATAAATAATGGGGTACAGGTATTTCTTTGATATACTGATTTCTTCTTCTGCAGATAAATATTTGGTAATAGGAATGCTGGATAGAGCTACTTTATAAAGTAGCTCTATTTTTAGTTTTCTGAGAAAAATCTATTTGTTTCCCATAATGGCTGTACTAATTTACATGCCCACCAACAGTCTATAAAGAGTTCCCTTTTCTACACATCCTCACCAGCAATGTTTTATTTTTAGTTTTTGTCTTTTTGATAATAGCCATTCTAACCGTGGTAAAATAATATATCATTGTGGATTTGACTTGTATTTCCCTAATACTTAGTGATGTTGAGCATTTTTTTATATATCTGTTGACAATTTTTATGTCTTATTTTAAGAAATATCTATCTGGATACTTTGCCCACTATTCAATGGGATTATTTGTTTGATTTTTCTTTTTTCTTGTTGAGTAGTTTGATTTCCTTGTATATTCTGGATAGTAGTCTTGTTGGAAGACAGTGTGCAAATATTTTCCCTTATTCCAGTTTGTCTCTTCACTCTTTTTTTTTTTTTTTTTTGCTGTGTACAAACTTTTTAGTATATTTTAGTTCCATTTGTCTATTTTTGTTTCTGTTTCCTGTATTTTTGAGGTCTTAGCCATAAAATATCTGCCTGGACCAACGTCCTGGAACATTTCTTCTATGTTTTCTTCTACCAATTACAAAGATTCAGGCCTTACATTTAGGTCTTAAATCCATTTTGATTTGATATTTATTAATGGTGAGAGATAGGGGTCTAGTTTTATTATTTCTTATATGAATATCTAGTTTCTCCATAACCATTTTATTGAAGAAAGTGTTCTTTCCTCAATTTGTGCTGTTGGTGCCTTTGTTTAAAATGAGTTGGTTGTTAATATGTGAATTTATTTCTGGTTTCTCTACTTTGTTTTATAGGTCTATGTTTCTGGTTTTATATCAGTATTATATTGTTTTGGTTACTATCATTTTCCACTGCATTTTGAAGCTAGATATTCTGATGTTTCAGTTTTGTTCTTTTGGGTCCAAATTGACTTTTCTGTTCAGGTTCTTTTGTGGTTTTATACAAATTTTAGAGATTTTTCTATATCTGTGAAGAATGTCATTGGTATCCTGATGGAGATTGCATTAATTCTGTAATTCCTTTGAGTTACATGGTCATTTAAATTATATTAATTCATCCAATACATGAGCATGGAATTTCTTTCCATTTGTTTTTGTCCTCTTTAATTTTTTCATCACTCTTTAAAATAGAGGTCTTATACCTCCTTAGTTACATTTTTTACTAGGTATTCTTGTAGCTACTGTAAATGAGATTGCTTTCTTAATTTTTTTGTCATCTAGGTCGTTATTGGTGTATAGAAACACTAGTGATTTTGTATATTGATTTTGTATCCTGCAACTTTACTGTATTCATTTATCAGCTCTAGGAGTTTTTGGTGGTCTTTAGGTTTTTCTATATCTTAAAGCATGCCACCTGCAAAGAGAGATTATTTGATTTCCTCTTTCCAAAGTAGGAGGCCTTTTAGATCTTTCTCTTGCATGTGTGCTCTGGCTAGAACTTTTAGTACTGCGGTAAATAAGAGAGGTGAAAGTTGACATTTGTGTCTTGTTCCAGTTCTTAGAGGGAAGGTGATTGTTTTTTCCCATTCACTATAATTTAGCTGTGGGTTTGTCATATAGGACCTTTATTATGTTGAGATATGCCCCTTCTATACTTAATTTATTGAGAGTTTTTATCATGAAGGGATGTTTAATATTGTTACATGACTTTTCTGCATCTATTGAGAGGATCATAAGACTTATGTCCTTCATTCTGGTGATGTAATGCATCACATTTATTGATTTATTGATTTGGGTATGCTGAACCAGCCTTACATCCTTGAGATAAATCCCACTTGATTAGAAATACTATCTTTTGATGTGTTGTTAGATTTGGTTTGCAAGTATTTTGTTAAGGATTTCTATGTCTATTTTCATCAGGAATATCAGCCTGTAATTTTCTTTCTTTCTTTTTTTTTTTTTTTTGTAGTGAGTTTCTCTGGTTTTGGTATCAGGGTAATGACGGCCTCACATAATTAGTTGAAAGAATCCCCACCCCCCTTCAACTGTTGAAATAATTCACACAGAATTGGTGTTAATTCTTCATTATCTGTTTGATAAAATTTGGAAGCAAAGACATTTGAACCCGGGATTTTCGTTGTTGGGAGATTTTTATCACATTTACAATTTTAATATTAGTCTGTTTATTTGGGGTCTGCTCTCTGTTTTTCTTGGTAAACTAGCTAGCA